>NC_000001.11:210760344-210911859 GCF_000001405.40 Homo sapiens | reverse complement strand
CTATTATTTTGAACTATAATTATGGTGACAAAATATCTTGTGTGTATTGTGGGAGGACATCATCCTTGTTCATAGCTGGATTACTGCACTGGGCAGAGGAATTTACAACAAGTTTTAGATGTTCAGAAGCTTTAATGATGGAATGCCAACCGATAAGGGTCATTGTCTCTGATCTTATAGGTACCCACAATATTTGAAAAATCCCTTTCCTTCTTTTTTTTTTTTTTTGCTTTGAAAATAACTTTATTTTTAGTATAAAAGAAATATATATCTGATGTGGCAAGTTCAGATTTTTTTTTTTTATTATACTTTAAGTTTTAGGGTACATGTGCACATTGTGCAGGTTAGTTACATGTTTCAAAGGAGACAACAGACATAGAAGCAAAATATTACTAGAAACAAAGGATTGGATGTTAGCAACATCTCCACATTATAATTGACATTTGAATTAAAATTATATTTTTAAAAAAGAAGGAAAGGACCTTCTATATTTATTGGAGTCTGGTAGGGGAGCCAGATGAGTCAATGAGATGAGTCTCCACTAAGGAAAGGACAGCTTGTTATGGGCACATGTGCAGGGTGTCTCCCCAGTGAGGAGGTCAAGGAGGGGTCAGGCAGTATATACCCCATTTATTTGGGAAGAGCCGTGGGCCAGGCACCTAAGGTTTTTCTGAGATTTATCATAGTGCATCTGTGTACTGATGTCTTCACAACCAGACTTCAAGCAGCTTAGGTCAGGGGCTGTGTGAGCCAATCCATGGTCCACAGTGGGCTCAATAAATATAGAATGAATGGAGGAAGAGAGAGAAAATATGGTATTTTCTCCACAGTTAACTTACAATCTACACAAATGCAAGTAGGAAAACCACGTGCAGCTGGAAAGCACTAAGTGTTCATGGAATAAGCTTTCAGATTTCTAGGAAGATGGTGATCTTTTGTGTAATATGGCCATGAATGTGGCATAAAAGAGGAGAGAGTTTACTTGACCAGTGAATAATGGTTAGGATTTGCATCACTTACAATGATAGGTAAGTAATAACAGTATTAATAATGATGAATGATTGAACATATACTGTGTGCAGAGCACATTATACACATTCTTTATTCACCTCTCCCAACACTTTTATGTCACAGGTGTTATTATCTTAGTTTATAGGTGAGGAAACTAAGGCTCAGGGAGGTCAATTCTCTTGCCTTCGGTCAACCTTCTTGTGAATGGTGAAGGCAGAATGCAAACCCAGATCTCTGACCCCCAATCTCATTGTCTTTCCACCAGTCTGTGTTGCCACCCTAGTCACTGACAGCAATGAACAGGGCACTGGTGCAGGGACCTGGGAGCTGAATGCTGCAGAAAGAGCAGCCACAACCCCTTGTTGCCAAATAGTGGGCAGAAAGAAAGATGTGCTGATTAGAAAGGGGCTGAGCACCTGTTCTGTGTCTTCTGGCTTGTCAGCCCCTCAGACTCCTTTTTGCCGTAGGCTAGTGCTTGATGACCACCTCTGACTGTTTACCATGTGTCAAAAGACAGGGATTGCAACATTTTGCAGTAAGGCCAATTTGATGATTTTTTTTTTTTTTTTTTGGTGCTTGATGACCACCTCTGACTGTTTACTATGCATCAAAAGACAGGGATTGCAACATTTTTCAGTAAGGCCAATTTGATGAAATTTTTTTTTTTGGTGCTTGACGACCACCTCTGACTGTTTACCATGTGTCAAAAGACAGGGATTGCAACATTTTGCAGTAAGGCCAATTTGATGAAATTTTTTTTTGGTGCTTGATGACCACCTCTGACTGTTTACCATGTGTCAAAAGACAGGGATTGCAACATTTTGCAGCAAGGCCAATTTGATGAAAATTTTTTAACATCCAGATCTCAATCCTGTAGTCTTCAATTTAGAAAAGTTACTGAGATGCAGACTTGATTTTTTACTTGGAGGACTCCACCAGGGATTTCTGGATTATATGACTCAGTTTGTTTAGACAGAAGATGCTATAGCCCATGATAGTGGTCAGCTTGTTGGCATCAAAAACTGCCCCCTTCTCCTGGACAGCCCCTCTTTGAATTGATACTACTCAGAAAGGAGACTACCTAGACAGCAAGGACGATTTATGAAAGTCATCTCCACTGCCAGTGAAACCAGTCAAGCTGCATGTGCAGCTGCCATTAGGTCAGGAGAAAAACTTCCATTTTTGAAATTGTATAGCATAGACAGTCCCTGGGATCAAAAGGAGACAAGCATGGGTATGGATCTTGTCTGCACTACTTAATAGTCAGGAAGGTACTTAAGTCCTGGGCCCGTTTCTTCTTCTGAAAATGGAAACGATGCAAATTAAATGGCATAAATGAAGGTAAAGATGCTTCCCTTTCAGAACCTTTGTTTCTGCCTAGTGTTCACTCCAGGGCCACAGATGGCCTGCTAGTTGATGTTAATGCCATTCTTTAACTACCCCTTGTGTGTGTTGTTTGTTCATTAATGTGGATGAATGGTTCCACAATTCCACCAGGGACTTTGGTAGGTGTTGGATGAGTGTGTAAAGGAGGGAGAAGGTGTTATATGCAAAGCTGGTAACAGAGAATAGGGACAGCCCAATGCTTTGTATAAGAAGAGCTTGATAAGGGTTTGTTTGTAGAACTAAATATCAAGAAGAAAATCTTCCAATGAGGATACTGCAGAATGAGAAGCTGTTAGGGCCAACTCTGTAAATTCTCACCTGACAGTGATTTTGCAGACTAACAAATGTTTCCATTTTCGCTTTTCCCCATTGTGACCCTCTTTGCATGCATGGGAGAGAATAATTTCAGCTCTCATCAGCTAGAGGTCTGGCTCTGAATCATAGCTACGTGGTGATAAAAACCCACCATCACTGCAAGAAAGCTTGGCAAGGAGAGAAGTCTTGGTAGGAAGAACAAAAGGAGCAGAAGGCTTTAAAACAAAATCTAATATGTGAAAAATCACCAGTGAGTTCTGCAGAGCTGCACGTGCCCTGCTTGCAGAGCCAACCCTGGTCAGAGGATGATCCTTTGTTCCTCCTTTGCAGAAGAGATGGGAAACAGAACTGGTCTGGGCAGGAATGGGGGTGGCTGAGCCAGAGCAGGGGTGGGCATAGAGTGTCCCTCTTCCTGATCACATAAATGAGGGCTGGGCCCCCTTCTTAAAGATCACTCGGTTTGGTGTGAGGAAGTTAGAATGCACCCATTGGGGAAACGACAGTAAACTCTAAGAAGTCCCTATGAAGCCTGGCCCAAATGTTCAAATTAACAGAGAACATACTGACAGCAGCCCTGCAGTGAAAACACAAAGTGATCGAGGCTGTTGGGGACTACCCATCCAGCCCCGTCTTGCAAGCAGAGAGGCGGGGCACAGGCAGAAGCTACAGGTTCTCCCCTGGCTGTCATTTTGATTCCATCCCTCCTGGGAAGCTCAGGTGTTTAATTATATTGAGCTGTGCTCACATGCAGGCGCTGGCAGCCTTGGATGGAATCCAGCACCTTAACAAGTGGAAGGGAAGCAGGATTTCTGAGCAAAAGCCTTTCTGAACACTTTGTTGAATGTATGATTTAAGCCTTCCATCTTTGCTTCTCTTTCTCTCTCCCCTCCACAAATATTTATCAAAACCCTACTATGTGTCAGCCAATTAGAAATGATGTGAGAACAGATGGATAATTAGCCATTCATTTTCTGAGGTAATTAACCAGCACTCCAGTGATGACACTCACAGAGATTGAGATTAAGAAGAACCTTGCACTCATTTCCTCCGTTGTGCTAAGAACCATGTCTCTACCATCATCTGCCTTTGCGGTGGGCTTTTTATTGCACCAAATTCTATGACTCGACATTTATCCAAATGCGTCTCCTCATTTTCCTTTGCTACACCAATGTGGAAACAGACATGGAAAAGAGTCACAGTAGCAGGTACAAAACAGTTTCTTTTTCTGTTGCTGACCAGAAAGATCATTAGAACCCAACTTATGGCTTAAGGGGTAAAAGTAATGTCTCTTGGCAACTCTGGGTGACCATAGGTGCTTGTTCTTCCACCTGGTAGCATCTGCTCTCCTTCCCTGGCCACTACTGACACATACCACATCATTTCTCAATTGCTATGTGAACCCCCACCCCCACTGGGATGGATCTTTTTTTCCATCAAAGTGCTAATGTTACTTCTTCTGTGTCACCCATAGACACATGCAGAAGCTCTGTAGTTTGCTCCAATGTGGGGGAAATGCCCTCCTCCACCTGTGCTCAGCCCTGGCACTAGGACAGAACAGGATCACATCATACTGCCAATAATAGAATGCTTTTTCCATTCAGCTTGCTTTTTTTTTTTTCTTCCCAGTCCTTTTTCCTAGATCCTGATTTGAGCTTGGGCCAGAAGACACTGGGTGGGGCTGCATTCTCCCTTTCCTTCTCCTCATGCAGAATCTCACCCGATACCAATGTTCCTAGACAAAGCTTATTCTTGGCAAGCATCTACATATGGAGAAATCACATTTCTACCATCTTTTGCTTTGGCAATTGGCTTTTTGGACCAAACTTCATGCTTCCCAGTAGAGTGAGTCCTTCCCCACTGGGTACAATTTCTTGGCACTTAAGAAGAGCCATTGTACCCTGACTACTTGGAGATATAACCCTGGAAGTGGTCCTGAGTTCCCATTTACCACCGTTATCTGAGTGGTTCCTGGGACCTCTCATATAAGTAAGTTTCAGCCTTTTTGCATCCATGTGATTGGATATAGCTTTAACCAAGTTACAATTTTAAATTTATGGTTGATTATCTGTCAGATACATAATTTGCAAGAAAGTGAAAGTGCCTTTTCACTTTCTTGATGGTGTCCTTTGATGCCAGAAGTTTAACATTTTGATGGATTCTGATTTTTCTATTTTTTCTCTTTTGTTGCTTGTGCTTTTGGTGTCATTTTAAAGGATCTTGGTATTTAATCTATCCACTTGGTTATTACCTCCCTAGCCTCCAGCTATCCATGAATTTGATCAGCATGGCATCAGTGTGAGAGTGTTCTGGCCCATATGATTACTTCTTCACATTGTATCATGTGAAAGCAGTACCTGCTCTAGAGCCACTCTTCTCCCACTCACTTCAGAAACTTGCAGGGGGAGCTTCTGAAATCTATCAGTGAGAGAATCCGAGTGAATGTGAGAGAAAGCACTGAATTATCAGTGACACATGTAGCTCATAAACCCCCGACTTTATTATGGACAGGCCATTTGGACATTCTGTTTTTAAAATTTCACCCACTGGATGTCTCATTCCTGTGTGGTCGAGAAGGCATAAGAAATAGTTATGGAAATCAGTTTTTCTGGGATACTGCTGAAAGCTGGAACCAAGACGGTCACTGTGTGGAATGACAATAAGCACTTCTCTCCAGTACTTGATCCTGAGAGTTAGAGGATATTAGCTGAGTCTGGGAGGAGTCATGTGGTGTTGAACCGTGATATCTGCCCCAGCAGCAGTCATGTGGTGTTGAACTGTGATATCTGCCCCAGCAGCATCTTGCCATCCCCTCCCCGGCACTGTGTCTGCCACCATTCCCTGGCAGCCAGACATGGCTGCTGCTTGCTCCATATGAAATTACTGACCCGCTTTTCACAGTCATCTGGGCCCTAGAGACCTGGCTGTTTCTTATCCCCAGGCTTATAAGCCGAGCACGAGGCTTGAGGCAGGGAGAAGACTCACATGAGGTCACATGCTGACCTTTCTACAGCCAGCCCTGCTGAAAATAGAGCCCATGACTTTTACTTCTGGGAGTTCAGACCTGATGGCATGTGCCACGCCCCTTGTCCCCTCCATCAGCTGCTCCCTTGAGATCCTGAAACCAAGCCAGAAGAGGAAGTGGGAGTATGTAGGTGAGGTTTGGTTTGAGAGGAGTAAGGGCTTTACGCTGGACTAAGTGGATTTGATTTAGGAAGAATGAAAATAATAATTCTAGTTCTCTATATTGTTATACTGCTTTGAGCAAACAGTGTTTTACATACATTATGCCACTTCATCATCATAGTAACACAGTTGAAGAAGTGAGGCACAGAAAAGTGGATCAATTTTCCAGACATGACACAGTTACTGACAGGAAGAAACAGAGCTTACATTTCAATCTTCTGAAGTGCTCCCTCAGCACCCTACGGCTGCCCTTTTGTGAACCCCACTGGGAACACCGAGAGGGTAGGCCAGTTTTACGATTTTTTTTTTCCCCTGAGATGAAAGACACGATGCTCACAAAGAACTCTTTTGCTCTAAGCTGTCAATGTGAGCAATTTATTGTTGGCAATAGTCTCAGTTCACTGGACTCAGGGCTACATGTCAGGAGCTGAAGGGTGACAGACTCACTCTCTGGAACCAATGCTTGACTTGGGAAGGTGTCTATATTGACCATTTGGATCCTGATCAGACTAAGGGAGGAGATTTAACCCCAAGTTCCTGGTACTTGACAGTACCAGGATGCCTTGATCTTATATTTGGAGCAGTCAGGATAATGACAATGTTGATGATAGTAAGAGCTAAAATTTATTAGACACTTACTATGGGCTACTCTTAACTCATATTGACTAATTTAATCCTGATAACCCTGTGAGATGGGACTATTATTCGCATTTTACAGGTAAGAAAACAGGCACAGAAAGGTGATAAGTCATTTGCCTAAAATCAGCTAGGAAGTGGAGGAACTGGGAGATTCATAAATCGTAACTGCAGATACCAACTTTGTGTGTATCGAAGACCTGTCCTATGTCCAGATCCCTACAGTCACCTTTCAGGGATGGCTCTTCTTCCTCTCGTGCTGCTACTTTGCCTCTGCTTCTGCCTCCTTAAGGAGCTGATGGTGTGGGGAGTCATGAGGGAGGTCAAGATGGTAAACCTTCTGATGAACATAGGTGGTGGAGGTGGTCTCTTGTTCTCCCCCTCACATCCCCTTAGTTACTCACTCTCTATGTGGCTTTGAAAAGTTCCCAAAGCTAGGTGTTCTTTTCTGAGCTTCAGTTTCCTCATCTGTAAAATGGAGGAGGTAATGGCTCTATTTCATTGGCAGAGTGATTGACAGGCTTAGATATAATGTCTGTGGAATTCCTGGCATGGTGCCTGGCAGATAGCAAGTGCTGAATAAATAACTGCTGGAGTTATTGCTTTTATTATTACTCCATTCCTCTTCCTCTTCCTTTCTATTCCTACCCTAGACAGAGATGTGGGTGTTGCCTAGTGAACATTGTCTAGAAGTTGTCTAACCCCAGTCCCGCTTCCAAAATTGGTTCAGAGAGCCATGAAGTGCAAGAAGGTGGCCAGTCTCCGTGCAGCCTGGGCTCCAGAGCCTGCCCCTTTCATTATGAAATGACAGGCTTTATTCATTTATTTGTACCACTGGCCTTTGGAATAAATTAAATAATACTACCTCAAAAAGAATTTCTTCGCACCTTCCACTGAGTATATTAACTCTCCTCTCCAACTGCTAGTCCACCAGAGATGAGGCCCTGGAGTGGTGGGGGTGGGGAAGCATGGGGGAAGGCTCTTGGGGTCAGTGGGGACAGAGCCCAAGAAGGATGTTCTTCTACATGGTGTGGAGGCTTCTGATATGCTCACCACTTTGCAGATTCACTCAGCTGCTGCTTTCTTCTTTTAATCAGGCTTTTTGCAAAGCAGTTATGTCATCATTTAAATATCCTCCAGTTGAATGTTCTCACACTCATAACTTAATGACCTTAATTGTGCTTATTAGTGAGAAAAGTACTTGGCATTATATTGCACTGCCTGCTGACATTCCACCGTTCCTTAGAGGCTTATAAGTATGTTTTCTGGTCAGGTACATGAAGAGATTGCAGAACAGGAGAACTACTAAGATACAATAGCCCTTTCTATGCCCACTGCAGCTCACTGTTCTCCAAGATTAGGTGTCCTTGGCTTGGCTATTCTCTCTCTTAGGGGCGAGAATGGGAAAGCAGAGAATGAGCATCTGGAGTGGGGCCAATTCTGTTTGTGTCCCCAAGGAGCAATTTTGCTTTTCTATGCCTCTGTTTTACCACCTGATGATAGGTAAAGTAACCTTCATCTCTCCCTTCCTGAGAGGCAGAGAGTTGGTAGTAAATTTGAGATCTGCTCTGCAGTATTGGTCCAGGACTTTCCAGAGAGGTCTTTAGTGGAGAAAACATTGAGAGGTGACTTGAGGTGTCAACCCTTATTCCAATGGGAAAGTGAACAGGATCTTAATCTTTTGATGATGATATTTCATTTTTTCTGTTTATTATGAATGCCTGCTTTATACCAGGTACATCATAGGTATTTCTTGGCAGCAAATAGACGATTTTTTACCCTGAGCCTGTATATCCATGAAAAAAATTTTGCTATTTGTTGATATAATGAAATACATACTATATTCACCATCCATGCTTAGAGTGAGTGGTAGGAATACTTTTAATGACATTAAGAGGCCATGAGCCCTTCCCAAGTCCTGCCAGAGAGGTTGCTAATTTAATGCCTGTCTTTGACAAGTATATTTTATCCATTCATTTAAAAAAATTTAGGGCTGATAGATGCTGAGATAAATAAAACAAAACTTCCAGAGGCAGCAGTCTAAGAGGGGACAGACAAGTACATATATAATTTGATACGGCATGAGAAATTCTGTGGTTGTAGTTAAGTATGGACTTCCAAAGGAAGAAGTGGGTAGAAGTGGCCTAAACTAGTCTTTGGAGTCAAGGAACAATGGACATTTACTGTGACCTAAGTTAGCCAGATGAAAAAAAAAGAGAGATGGCAGGGCATGGAGGCAGACCAGAGAACCCAGTGCATTTGAGGAGAATGAAATGCATTCACATAGCTGAAATGTAGGGGAAGAGAGCAACTAGCTACAATCAAAGCAAAAGCAGAAAATAGGGGCTACTTTTGAAGGGATCTATGTGCCAAAAAGCTTATACTTTCTCCTGAAGGCAGGAGGAGGTATCCAGGACTTTAAGCAAGGAATATTATTTTAGAGATTGGATAGAAGAGGAGCAAGATGAAACGCAGACATGACAGGAAGTTTTTGTATTATTTTAGTGGAGAAACAGTGATTGTCTGAGCAAAGGCAGTGGTAGTGGGAATGGAGAGAACTGGAGGGATTCCAGAAATCTTAAGAAAGTAGATGGATAGCTCTTGGCAGTGTCACTGACTGGGGACAGAGTGTGCCGCTTTACTATGGAGGGCCCACTTCACCACGGGCTTCCTTCTCAGCAGGGCAGGTAGATAATGGCATTTTAGCAGTGCCTGAAACCACCACTTTCAGCCATATGGCGGGTCTGTGGGTGGCTGGGCAGCAACAGTGGGAAACAGACGGGCTGCCCGGCAGCAATGATGAATGGGCACATCTCCTGAAGCCAAGACTTCCCTTTTAGCCTCAAAACAGAGCCAGCTTCCTCCCACCACCATGTGCACAGAGGTGTGAGGGCCCAGGGGTCACCAGATGGTGTTTTTGGCCACATCTGCTCATGCAAATAGAGACCATGGTCAGCAGCAGAGCAGCATCTTAATTTGTTCTCTTTTTCCTGCAGTGTCCATTGCTTGAGACCCTCTGGGCTAAAACTGAAAAAATGCTGTGTCTTGATGGAATTATTTTACTAAAGGAACAATTGGTCAGATCCTGAGAATCACTCCTCAGCTATTGGCACATGTTGGTTTTGTCTGCTCTGCAGAGTTGGGAACCACCTGCTCCTGGCGGGAAGGTTGCGGGTAGGGGCGGGTGCCCTCTCCTCTTCCCTCCCCTCATTGGTTGACTTACTGGCATTTGATGTTTCCTTGGAGTCTGTTCATCCTGGTCTTCCTGGGGCCCCTCCACTCTTCTGAGCTGCCCACATGTAGCCCAGCATCCTTAGTGAGGCCAGCTTTTAGCACTGCCTGTGAGATGTGGTATTTAAGGAATGAAGCTGTGCAGAAGAGCCAGGAAAAGGTATTTTGAAAGTGAGGTGTGGTTTTCAGAGGTCAAGGATTCCAAGCTATAGGAGATACTGTCCCTACCCCAAGAAGCTCAGTATCCAAGTGATTATTAGATCCTGTTACATAAAACAGATAAATGGAATATAAGACACTGTGTGAAACTATTCTTCTCTTTCTCAAGATCAACAGGCTTGCCTTGAACTGCTAAAGCAGCTCTTCCTCCTAACTTTCTTAACTTTCTTAGTAGTGGCACTGACTTCCCAGCTCCCAGGCCCCATGCCCCATCTCCAGCCCCTGGACCTTTTCCCTTTTTTTCTGCATCATTTTCTGCCTGAAAAGTCAGCATCCACAAGACCCTTGGTGTCTTTCACTTCTTCAGGTTCCCATTATTACACCCCCAATCTTGGTCTGCATCACTCCTCATGGGAACAGTGCAGAGCCTCCTGATTTTGACTCTCCACTTCATGTGTTCCGCTCTGCCCACACCATCCCACACATCCCCATCCAACCTGACCACCCACTGCCATGTGGAGAGTCACTTGGAGGCAGAGTCCTGTGAGGAGGATGTTGTAGTTGCCCAGGTGAGAACTGAGGTGAGCTCTGATGATGGTGGTGGCAGTGCAGACGGAAAGAGGAAAATCCAGGATGGATTTTGGAGGTGGGACCAACAAGACCAGGTGATGAATTGGCTGTGGTAGGGTTGGGGGCAGAGCATTTGTGAGACTAGTATCTTACATAGACCTGGGTTCATGGAGGTGTACTAGGTGTGGAAGTGGGGGTAGAGGTGCCATTTAGGGGTAGATCATGAGTTTGAGTTTAAATATGTTGAGTTTGAGCTATCCAAGAGATGTAAGTAGAGAGTTGGCTTATGGGGCTGGGGCTAAAGAGAGAGGATTGGTCAGAGATATAGATCTAGAAGCCGTTGGCATGTAGCATCTGTTAGGTCCAGATGTTAATTGAATATGTACTATTAGATGCAGCTTTTCTACCAAAGGTCTTGGAGGGAGGGGTGTCTGTGTTTTATTTTTGCTAGGGTAATGTGAGCTGTGTGTGACTATAACACGGTACTAAAGTTGGGCTTCTTTTTGTCTGGCTAGGTTGAGGAGAAGGAGGATGGGAAGAATGGAGAACAAAGCACTATCTGGATTTAAAGAAAAAAGCCTGTCAGTGAGGAGAACCCTATTATTCCTGTAACCATTGTGTACAAAGATTATTGTGGCTCTTCTGCCACTCTGCAGAAGAGATGGGCTGTGTGAGCAGTGCAGAGGCTCTTCTTGTTCCATCGTGACCTTGGCCCACTGTTTATGCACCAGAATTAGTAAGGTGGCTAATTGCACTGAATCTGCATCTGCACTACCACTGGTCTAGTTATTTTCCCTGCCTATGCCCAGAGTTCTGTTCCAGAAAGTCTCTAAACAAGCTCAACATACCCAAGTGCTTCACACCTCCCACAGCCTTCCCTAGCCCACCATGCCTCACAAAACATATTTGTCCTTTCAAATGAAACAGTAATCTTGGCTTATCTAGATTCAAAAGTTCAAAGATGTATGTAGCTGAAAAATAAAGAAACCAACAAAAAGAACTTGTAAATGCCTTTCTGCTCAGATGAACTGTCTGAACAGCCCCAGCTCAAGTTCTGATAGGAGCACCGGGGATGATTTGTGCCAGATACTCTGTTGCCCTTCCCAGCTCCCTTGGTACGTGAATGGGGATGGCTCTGAGCAAGACTACTTTCCTTCCAGGCATTGCTGTGTTTTTGAACTGCTTTGTATTTGTGTATTTGTTTAAATCTCTCTCTGCCTTTTCACTATCTCTCTCTTCTTAAGCTCCTTAAGTGGAAGAATTGAGTTTACCTTGTTTACCACTTGTTCTTAGGGCACAGTATAGTGCCTAGGAGGCAAGAAGCATTTAGGACTAACGAATTATACTCATTTACTACCCCTTTATCCTAAAATTTCTTCCCTCACGATGGGTCTTTTCTATTATCTATTATCATGGATTTAGTTTTTTAGAAATCTGACTTTAATATGTACCTTTGTGGTATTGACTTTTGGAGAACTAGATAATGATTAACAGCCTGGGCCTTAGCATTTGACAGACATAGGCTTGAATTCTGTTCTGCTTAGCTAATGGCTGTGAGACCTTGGGCAAGATGTTCAACTCTCTGAGGCTCATTCTCCTCATCTGCAAAATGGAATATGTTTTTGCCTTAAAGTGTTAAGAAGATCACATGAAGTCACAAATATAAACCACCTAGTAGAATGCCTGGCCCACCAGTTAGTGGAAGTTAAACACAAATACATTTTGAGAGCTTGTCTTTGCCATTGTTCTTTTATATCAGTGGTTCTCATTTTTTTGGTCTCAAGACTCCCTTATAATCTTAAAACATTATCAGAAATCCCCAAATCCCAAAGAGCTTTTGTTTGTATGAGATAATGATAAAAATATATATATATATATCTCATAAGTGAGATATATATCTCAATACATATTGTTTTAGAAGTTAAAACTGAAATTTAAAAATCTATTCATTTAAGAATAAGAGTAATAAAGTTATTGCATGTTGACTATCGGCATATTTTTAGAAATAATTTTGTGTCAAGAGTGCTGTTCTTTTAGACTTTGAAAATCTTTTTGACCCTACCTTAATGAATGAAGCTGGAATCTCATATCTACATCTGTATTCAGCCCATTGCAATATTACATACTATGTGGTTTCTGGAAACTCAACTCACTGTACATTTGTGAGAGAATGAGAGTCAAAAAGGACAGTAATGTCTTAGTTTTATTAGGGAAATAATTTTGAATGTAAGGACCCCTGAAAGGGTCTCAGGGAATCTCTAGAGTTCCTGGTCACACTTTGGGAATTGCTTTCTAGACACTGGGTTCTATAAAATAGGGTCATAGTCGGATATTTAGGGTTAACCTGAACAAGTGACTAATGAGACTGATTAAAAACCATTGTGAGCCCAACCCTGGAAGGCACTGTTAGAATCTGAGTCTGAGCTTCCTTAATTCACTCTTTGCTTCTTCCCCAACACCCAATCAGGTAGACAGCTCTCTTCAGCTTAGCTTCTCTATTTGTTCTGTCTTTACCTGAGTCCAGGCCCTCATTACCCCACACCTGAATGTCAAGCCAGGCTTCTCTTGGGTGTGGCAATTTGATACAGGAGAAAGAGCATTTTGGAGTCGCTTAGACCTGGCTACAAATTCTGGAATCATTTACTGTGAGGTGTATCTGTAAAAGGTGGTTGACAGGACCCCCCCCCGCCGCCACGCCTGCCCCCTCCAAGGGGTCTTGCGGTTCTAAGTGAGATTATGATGCCACATGCCTGACACAGGCCTGGCTCACAGTGGGTGCTCAGCAGTGAGTTCTGCTCCTTTCCTAGGCAGTCCCAGCCAGTTCACTCTCTGGACTGTCAGTAAGCCCCATACTTCTGAATCCCTGAGGTGTCTAAAGCCAATATTATACACATTTACCACTCACTTGCAGGTTGTATGTTTCTTATCTTCTGTGCCTTGTTTCTCAAGACTGTAAGCCACCAGAGGGCAAAACCATGCCTGTTAATGTTTCTGTACCTTCTGTGGGGCTGAGGTTTATAAATATTTATTGTTTCGAGTAGAATAATTAAATGGCATATTTTTTTGCCCTTGACAGATCCCCAGTGTGGTGGGATGATGTATTCCATTTGTATAAGGCAATATAGTCATACTTAAAAAGTATTATTATAAACAAGTGACAATCAGCAGGCAGGTCAGCTCCACAAACGACAGAGATACCTGCCACAAACACTACTGTTTAACAAAGAAGGTTTCCAAGTCTTTGTTAATGGTAGACATATTTTGAGTATTTTTCAATATAATGCAATCCACAGGGAAAGAGAAAAGAATGTAGTGCCTTAGAATTGTTTAGAAAGGCATTAGACTAAGCCAGATGTTCCTGGAGGAGGCAGCTGAAAGGTGGTCCTGGCCAGCCACTACACAACCACTGCC
Source organism: Homo sapiens (assembly GCF_000001405.40). NCBI lineage: Eukaryota > Metazoa > Chordata > Mammalia > Primates > Hominidae > Homo > Homo sapiens. The sequence goes on along the minus strand of NC_000001.11, from coordinate 210,897,957 downwards.
ACTTACCCCTCCAGGGGTCTTGCCATCTCAACAGTCTTCCTAGCCCACTCTTAGAGCCCATAGACTTGTGTCTCCTTCCCATCTTGGAGCATCAGCTCGCTCTCTTCCTGCTTCTGCCTCTCAGCTTCCTCTGTACCATACCCTTTAAAAGTGCCCCAGATGGCAGGAGACAATGCAAAAGAAGCTGTCCGAAGGTTGGTTTTGCTTTTCACTCTTCTAGTGCTACTATCCCTCTCCCTACATTCCCCAAAGGCAGGTGAGCATGCAAGGCCTGGTACCTTCTTGGAGCAGGGGAGAGAAAACCATAGCAAGAGCAATACAAATCCAAATTAAGATCTCAGTAAATTATCCTGTCTTATTTAAAAATCACAGTAGGGCTCTTGTCTGATTTCATATCCAGGGGAGCCTGTTGGAGCTGCTGTGGAACAGAGGGCAGGGGTGTCCTCATCACTGTGTCTAGGAGAACACACTTAATTTCTTTCCCTACCCATGCAGATGTTTGAGGTGAAGGCAGTCTCTAAAGTAGATCCTATGTAAGCTCCCGTTGGTTTGTAACCAACCCAGTCAGAGTAGGTACTTATTTTTCTTGGTTTTAAAGATTTTTAAGCCAGACACTCCATTATCTCCCTCGCCTACTTAGTTTTATGTTCAGTCCATTGAGCTCCATCTTCTGCTCTTAGATAAGAGGATTTCTACTTCTCTTTTCTGGTGAAGGAAGCACAAGTGGCCAACCTTCTTTTCATAATGGTCCCTCACTAACTTGAAGACCAGCTTCTTACCATCCATTACATCCAGATCACTGTGGTTATGTTGCCCTTTGAGTTATCGAGGAGTTAGTGCACATAGTATGGGCTTAGTGAGAGCTCACTACTGATCCCATTGTGAGTGGAGCAAAGCCCCCTGGGCCATGGAGTGCTCCTTCCAGAAGACCATCCCATTTAGAGGTATGAAGCCAGTCACAGGCAAGGATATGTCTGCCAAGACCAAAATACACTTGTTTAGAAATGCTGTAGGGATGTGCTATCAGGAGGTTCCTATTCTAAAGCTGTTTGCTGGAAGACAGAAAAAGATGGCATTTTGTAACTGTACAGCCATACACAACCTCCTCCATGGGGTAATAGGAAGGAAAAGTCTGTTTTTTTTTCTTACTTTTATTTTCTTCACTTGTTCCTTGTTCTTTGCTCCTCCCTCTCTTTTCTTTCTTCAACCTTTTCTTCTTTCTTTGTGTATCAGATTGACATGAATTCTAAAGAAAAGCTAAACTTTCCGCTGAGTTGCTAGACACCAGAAACCCAGAATGTTCTGGAAAGAGCCTCCACTTTTAGTCGATATTATTGGTGTATATGTAAAATATACTCACTTCTTCAGGGATTTAGCTGAGGGTCTAGGGTCCAGCCAGGACTCTGTACTTATTCTGTCTGCTTACTGTTCATATTATTCTCCTCAGCCAGTCTATCTAATGTAGATACAGAAAAAACAAAGGAAGAAAACCCTTCAGTCTCCTTTTTAAAGGCATTCTTTGATGTTACGTCTATCACAACTTTGCCCTGAACTGCTTAGATGGTTTTAGGGCTACTGTCTACAGCCTGGTCACTTCTCAGGTTTTTTCTAGGGTTTATATTTTTGATGGTAGGGGTTTGTCAGTAACATTTTTTTTTTTAAAGATCCCGTACATTGATGACACCAGCTTCATCACTTACCTATGGTTTAGAATGGTTCAGGTCAAGGTCTTAGAATTAAGGACTAGGAAAACCAACTCATACTTGACATCTAATCATTGTGGATTTTAGTTCCCTTACATAAAATGGGGGAGCATGGTCCTATACCAGCTAACATCCAAGAATGGGGAGGATTGAAATTGTTTGCATAAAAACTGAGATTGTTGGTATAAAACCTCCTACATGTTTAGCTGTTATTAAGTTTCTTCTCACATACCCTACTCTGATAAGCAATACCTGTAACAATTGTTGACATCCTAAATTACTCAGAATCTCTCGTGGTTGTCTGCAATATTACCGTAGGATTGCTTATCTGATGATCTGTCTGTGTTAATCTCAGCTGCAGTATGGTTTAGGATGTGTCTATGTAAATGCATGTGCCTGAATGTGATATGGCGTTGTTGGAAAAGCAAAAGCAGAGAGACAGTCCTGCCAATCTAGGTCCATCTTTTTGGTAGCCACGTCCAAGAGTATTTTTTTTTTTAGTCTGAGAAATATCTCCTGCTTGAAACTATATTCTGTCTTCTGCTCTCAACTTTTATCCCTTTCCTATGTTTCCTGATGTCTGTCTGTAGACCCCTGTTGGTAATGGGTATGTGTGGGAAGATAATTATGGGTCAGAGAGGCCTTCTATTGCCAAGGGGAGACATGGTACTTCATCTCTCATCCTCTTCCTCCACCTAAACACCATTTTAACTTTTGCTGCCTTGTTAGGAATGTATTAGAGGATTCCATGTTTTATAAAGGGATAAACCAGAGGAGAGGGCCAAGATCCTGAGATTCTGTAAATATCCAATGGACCACTCTTGCCATCCCCATTGTAATTGAGGCAATGGAAAAAGGTAGCCTACATCTATGATATAGAATTAATCTTTGTTAATTATTATTCCATCTACATTGTGTGCCATACATGTGTGAAGATGTGAAAATGAATAAAGCACAGACCTTACTGTTAAGGAGCTCAGAGTCTAGTAGAAAGAGAGATGCATAAATCCAGTGTTAAAAGACACTGTGATTAATTTGTCCAAGGTTATATAACAAAGACCAGATTTACCCTCTTGCCTGAAAAAAAAAAAAGGAAACAAAAGTAAACAGAAAGCTTAACAAAATATATAAAACAATACTTTCAAGATACTGGACATCAAGTAACAAAGGACAATGATCCCTAAGATGCAGGAAATAAATGAAGTTAGCCCTATGATTACCCCAGTTTACTGCCTTGAGAGAATTTCTGCAACCTGGTTGGAGAACTCAGTCAGAATCTGAGGAAATGGAACTGAGAGTGTGGATCTGATGAAGGCAGCTAGATATGACAGAGGAGAGTATTGTCTTGGCCTGTTTTCTGCTACTAAAACAGAATACCACACAGACTGGATAATTTAAAAAGAAAAGAGTTTATTTAGCTCATGGTTCCTCCAGAAAGCTGGGAAGCCCAAGAGCATGGTGCTGGCATCTTGTTAGGGCCTTCATGATGCATCATAATATGGCAGAGGGCATTACATGGTGAATGGGCAAGAGAGCCAGAGAGAGCTCATTTTTATAATAAAGATACTCCAATAATAACGAACTCATTTTCAAGATACTGGCATCAATCCATTCGTGAGGGCAGAGGGATTACGTTTTCAACACATGCACTTTTGAGGGACATATTCAGACCATAGCAAGTATCAAATAGGAGAGGGCTGCACAAAGAGAAAACTAGGAAGATACTGCAGAGAATCTTCCTCAAGCCTTCAATAGATAACTAATCAACCCTTGTGAATGAAGAAACTGCCCAAAGCTAGGAGAAGAATGACCCAAAAGGATTATTAAAAAACAGTGACTGGTGCTTGCACAAGGTTGGGAAGAAGTTCAGTTCCCACCAGGCCAGCTGTATTGACGGGACATTGGATTGAGTAGTCAGAAGGGTCTTTCCTTGGCAGTGGGAAATAATTGTCCCTAGACTAAATAATGCTCTGGGTCCACTTAACAAATCTTAAAGGTAAGACTCAAAGGATCAAGTTGTTTCCAAATAATTTAACTGTGTTCCAGAATAAAGCTCAAAAATACGTGTAGGAATACAAAAATATCCAGTACCCCAAAAGTCCTATTCACAATGTCTGACATTCAATAAAAATGACCAATTAAGCAAAGAAAGAAGAAAATACAGTACATGATGAGGAGAAAAATCAGTCAGCCAAAACTGACTCAACCGTTACAGGTTTTTAGAAGTAGTAGGCAAAGACATTAGTTATTATAACTATATTCCATATGTTTCAATATTTAAGTAGAGACATGGTAAATTTTTTGTTCAAATCAAGCTTCTAGAGATGAAAAAGCATTGTCCAAGATAAAAAATGCATTAGGTAGGATTAATGGCAGAATTGACACTAGACATCACAGAAGGGAAGATTAATACACTTGAAGACACAGCAATATGCACTATCCAAATAAAATACATAGAGAGAAAAGAATTTAAGAAAAATGAAAGAGGCTTCGAAGAGCTATGACACAACTTTACAGGGCAAATATACATATAATTGGAGTCTGCAAAGGATGAGAGAGGGAAATCTTTCTGAGCCTACTCTGGCTTGTGAGGCTGCTTTTATAATTTAAAAAATAAAAAGCAAAGGATGAGAGAGACAGAGAGAAAGTAGAAGCAATATTTGAAGAAATAATGGCTGAAAAATCTTCAAACTTGATGAAAAACATGAATTCACAAATCCAAGAGCCCAGCAAACCCCAAGCAGAAGAAACATGAAAACACACAAAAAACCTATGGCAAGGTACATCATAAAAATTTCAAAATCAGTGATAAAAAGAAAATCTTAAAAGCAAACATAGGAAAAAATATATGCTATGTAACAAGGAACAAAGGCATCAGATTTCTTGTTAGAAAGAATGCTAGAAAGAATGCAAGTAGAAAACAATAGAGCACCATCTTTAAAGTACTAAAAGAAAACTATCAACCTAGAATTCTATACCCAGCAAAAATCTTTCAAAACCAAAATTTAAGTGAAGATATCTTAGACATGTAAAATCTGAAAAAAGTTTGTCATTAATACACCAGCACTATAAAAAATGTAAACAGATGTCTTTCAGACAAACCAAAAATGATACTGAATGAAAATATGAATCTCTGTAAAGGAATGAAGAACACTAGCCTTTCTGCCTGAACTTTCTTCTCTTCTTTTGCTAACTCCTGCCAGTCCTTAATGACTCAGTTCAGATGACTACCACTTTTCCTCCGACCCCTTAGAATGGAATCAGTATCCCTCCCAAGGCTCTCTGTGATTACCTCCTACGTTGCATTTATCATGATAATATAATTGTCTACTTGTATAACTCTTCTAGGAATTTATGAGCTTTAGGGCAGGGACTATATATACTGATAACTGGCACATAGTCAATGATCAACAAATGCTTATTGAGTGGATCAGTATTCTGAATTAAGACATGGCAGTGGCAATAAGACAGAAAGGGCTTTGCCTGGGAACACTTCTTGAGGCAAGACCAATTAAGACTTGTCAAAGGTGTTTGGGGATAGTAGATTCCACTGTATTATTGTCCAAACTTTAGTTTTTTGGGGTCCATTTTTGCCATTTTTGGGTCCATATTTTTTTGGGTCCATTTTTACCAAAGTTCAACCTGTATTACTTTTTGACTCAGTATTACTTCTTAAATGAACTCATACATTTTTACATAGATAAATGTGTTTTTTTAAAAAATATGGTGTGACCCATGCTGGGATGGAGGCATGTGTGGGGGAGCTGTCAGTGAGGGTGGTGACTGTCTGCCTCTGAGAGACAAGGAAGGCTTTGCTGTTGCTTGCATAAATGAGTGACTGAAAGAAGGAATGAGGTGCAATTTTAATAGCTCTAAAAGGAGAAACTGGCATTTCTTCAGGCAGAAAAGGGGGAAAGACTAAACCTGGAAGAAGGTACTGATAGGCAAAAGCAATGAGGCTGTTTTAGAAATGAGTTTCAGGCATCCAGGGAATGGTGTGACTGTGGGACAGGATATAAGGGTTGTTTTTTTTTTTCATATATATATACTTTAAGTTCTGGGATACATGTGCAGAATGTGCAGGTTTGTTACCTAGGTATACACGTGCCATTGTGGTTTGATGTACCCATCAACCTGTGATCTACATTAGGTATTTCTTCTAATGCTATCCCTCCCTTAGCCCCCTGACCGCCTGACAGGCCCCAGTGTGTGATGTTCCTCTCCCTGTGTCCATGTGTTCCCATTGTTTAACTCCCACTTATGAGTGAGAACATGTGGTGTTTGGTTTTCTGTTCTTGTGTTAGTTTGCTGAGAATGATGGTTTCCAGCTTCATCCCTGTCCCTGCAAAGGACATTAACTGATCCTTTTTTATGTCTGCATAGTATCCACGGTGAATATGTGCCACATTTTCTTTATCCAGTCTATCACTGATAGGCATTTGGGTTGGTTCCAAGTCTTGCTATTGTGAATAGTGCTGCAATAAACATACATGTGCATGAGTCTTTATAGTAGAATGATTTATAATCCTTTGGGTATATACCCAGTAATAGGATTGCTGGGTCAAATGGTATTTTTGGTTCTAGATCCTTGAAGAATCGCCACATTGTTTTCCACAATAGTTGAACTAATTTACACTCCCACCAACAGTATAAAAGCATTCCTATTCTCCACATCCTCTTCAGCATCTGTTGTTTCCTGACTTTTTTTTTTTTTAATTATACTTTAAGTTCTAGGGTATGTGTGCACAATGTGCAGTTTTGTTACATATGTATACATGTGCCATGTTCGTGTGCTGCACCCATTAACTCATCATTTACATAAGGTATTTCTCCTAATGCTATCCCTCCCCCTTCTCCTCACCCCATGACAGGCCCTGGTGTGTGATGTTCCTCACCCTGTGTCCAAGTGTTCTCATTGTTCAGTTCCCACCTATGAGTGAGAACATGTGGTATTTGGTTTTCTGTCCTTGCAATAGTTTGCTCAGAATAATGGTTTCCAGCTTCATACATGTCCCTACAAAGGACATGAACTCATCCTTTTTTATGGCTGCATAGTATTCCATGGTGTATATGTGCCACATTTTCTTAATCCAGTCTATCATTGATGGACACTTGGGTTGGTTCCAAGTCTTTGCTTTTGTGAATAGTGCCGCAATAAACATACGTGTGCGTGTGACTTTATAGCAGCATGATTTATAATCCTTTGGGTATATACCCAGTAATGGGATGGCTGGGTCAAATGGTATTTCTAGTTCTAGATTCTTGAGGAATTGCCACAGTGTCTTCCACAATGGTTGAACTAATTTACACTCCCACCAACAGTGTAAAAGCAGTCCTATTCTCCACATCCTCTCCAGCACCTGTTGTTTCCTGACTTTTTAATGATCGTCATTCTAACTGCTGTGGGATGGTATCTCATTGTGGTTTTGATTTGCATTTCTCTAGTGACCACTGATGATGAACTTTTCTTTCATATGTTTGTTGCCTGCATAAATGTCTTCCTTTTATAAGTGTCTGTCATATGCTATACCCACTTTTTGATGGGGTTTTTTTTTTCTTGTCAATTTGTTTAAGTTCCTTGTAGATCCTGGGTATTATCCGTTTGTCAGATGGATAGATTGCAGACATTTTCTCCCATTCTGTAGGGTGCCAGTTCACTCTGATGATAGTTCCTTTTGCTGTGCAAAAGCTCTTTAGTTTAATTAGATCCCATTTGTCAATTTTGGCTTTTGTTGCCATTGCTTTTGGTGTTTTAGTCATGAAGTGTTTGCCCATGCCTATGTCCTGAATAGTATTGCCTAGGTTTTCTTCTAGGGTTTTTATGGTTTTAGGTCTTACATTTAAGTCTTTAATCCTTCTGGAATTAATTTTTGTATAAAGTGTAAGGAAGGGGTCCAGTTTCAGTTTTCTGCATATGGCTAGCCAGTTTTCCCAGCACCATTTATTAAATAGGGAATCCTTTCCCCATTTCTTGTTTTTGTCAGATGTGTCAATGATCAGATGGTTGTAGATGTGTGGTGTTATTTCTGAGGCCTCTGTTCTGTTCCACTGGTCTGTATATCTGTTTTGGTACCAGTACCGAGCTGATTTGGTTACTGTAGCCTTGTAGTATAGTTTGACATCAGGTAGCCTGATGCCTCCAGCTTTGTTCTTTTTGCTGAGGATTGTCTTGGGCATATGGGCTCTTTTTTCATTCCATATGAAATTTAAAGTAGTTTTTTCTAATTCTGTGAAGAAAGTCAATGGTGGCTTGATGGGGATAGCATTGAATTTATGAATTACTTTGGGCAGTATGGCCATTTTCATGATACTGATTCTTCCTATCCATGAGCATGGAATATTCTTCCATTTATTTGTGTCCTCTCTTATTTCCTTGAGCAGTGATTTGTAGTTCTCCTTGAAGAGGTCCTTCACATCCCTTGTAAGTTGTATTCCTAGGTATTTTATTCTCTTTGTAGTAATTGTGAATGGGAGTTCACTCATGATTTGGCTATTATTGGTGTACAATAATGCTTGTGATTTTTGCACATTGATTTTGTATCCTGAGACTTTACTGAAGTTGCTTATCAGCTTAAGGAGATTTTGGGCTGAGATGATGGGGTTTTCTAAATATACAATCATGTCATCTGCAAACAGAGACAATTTGACTTCCTCTCTTCCTATTTGAATACGCTTTATTTCTTTCTCTTGCCTGATTGCCCTGGCAAAAACTTCCAACACTATGTTGAATAGGAGTGGTGAGAGAGGGCATCCCTGTTCTGTGCTGGTTTTCAAAGAGAATGCTTCTGGCTTCTGCCCATTCAGTAGGACATTGGCTGTGGGGTGGTCATAAATAGCTCTCATTATTTTGAGATACGTTCCGTCAATACCTAGTTTATTGAGAGTTTTTAGCATGAAGGTCTGTTGAATCTTATCGAAGGCCTTTTTTGCATCTATGGAAATAATCATGTGGTTTTTGTCATTGGTTCTGTTTATGAGAGGGATTATGCTTATTTATTTGTGTATGTTGAATCAGCCTTGCATCCCAGGGATGAAGCTGACTTGATCGTGGTGGAGAAGCTTTTTGATGTGCTGCTGGATTCAGTTTGCCAGTATTTTACTGAGGATTTTTGCATCGATGTTCATCAGGGATATTGGCCTGAAATTTTCTTTTTTTGTTGTGTCTCTGCCAGGTTTTGGTATCAGGATGATGCTGGCCTCATAAAATGAGTTAGGGAGGAGTCCCTGTTTTTCTATTAATTGGAATAGTATCAGAAGGAATGGTAACGGCTCCTCTTTGTACTTCTGGTAGAATTCAGCTTTGAATCTGTCTGGTCCTGGGTTTTGTTTTGGTTGTTAGGCTGTTAATTACTGCTTCAATTTCAGAACTTGTTATTGGTCTGTTCAGGTATTTGACTTCTTCCTGGTTTAGTCTTGGGGGGGTATATGTGTCCAGGAATTTATCCACTTCCAGATTTTCTAGTTCATTCGCATAGAGGCGTTTATAGTATTCTCTGATGGTAGTTTGTATTTCTGTGGGATCAGTGGTGATATCCCCTTTATCATTTTTTATTGTGTCTATTTGATTCTTCTCTCTTTTCTTCTTTATTAGTCTGGCTAGTGGTCTATTTTGTTAATCTTTTCAAAAAACCAGCTCCTGGATTCATTGATTTTTTTGAAGGGTTTTTTATGTCTCCGTCTCCTTCAGTTCTGCTCGCATCTTAGTTATTTCTTGTCTTCTGCTAGCTTTTGAATTTGTTTGCTCTTGCTTCTCTAGTTCTTTTAATTGTGATGTTAGGGTGTCAATTTTGGATCTTTCCTGCTTTCTCCTGTGGGCGTTTAGTGCTATAAATATCCCTGTAAACACTGCTTTAGCTGTGTCTCAGAGATTCTGGTACCTTGTGTCTTTGTTCTCATTGGTTTCAAGGAACTTATTTATTTCTGCCTTAATTTTGTTGTTTACCCGGTAGTCATTCAGGAGCAGGTTGTTCAGTTTCCATATTGTTTTGTGGTTTTGAGTGAGTTTCTTAATCCTGAGTTCTAATTTGATTGCACTGTGGTCTGACAGACTGTTTGTTATGATATCTGTTCTTTTGCATTTGCTGAGGTGTGTTTTACTTCCAATTTTGTGGTCAATTTTAGAATAAGTGTGATGTGGTGCTGAGAAGAATGTATATTCTGTTGATTTGGGTTGGAGAGTTCTGTAGATGTCTATTAGGTCTGCTTGGTCCAGAGCTGAGTTCGCGTCCTGAATATCCTTGTTAATCTTCTGTCTCATTGATCTAATATTGACAATGGGGTGTTAAAGTCTCCCACTATTATTGTGTGGAAGTCTGAGTCTCTTTGTAGGTCTCTTAGAACTTGCTTTATGAATCTTGGTGCTCCTGTGTTGAGTGCATATATATATTTAGGATAGTTAGCTCTCCTTGTTGTGTTGATCCCTTTACCATTACGTAATGGCCTTCTTTCTCTTTTTTGATCTTTGTTGGTTTAAAGTGTGTTTTATCAGAGACTAGCATTGCCACCCCTGCTTTTTTTTTTTTTTTTTTTTTTGGCTTTCCATTTTCTTGCTAAATATTCCTCCATCCCTTTATTTTGAGCCTATGTGCATCTTTGCACATGAGATGAGTATCCTGAATACAGCACACCGATGGGTCTTGACTCTTTATCCAATTTGCCAGTCTGTGTCTTTTAATTGGGGCATTTAGCCTGTTTACATTTAAGGTTAATATGGTTATGTGTGAATTTGATCCTATCATTATAATGCTAGCTGGTTATTTTGCCTGTTAGTTGATGCAGTTTTTTCATAGTATCTATGGTCCTTACAATTTAGTATGTTTTGCAGTGGCTGGTCCCGGTTGTTCCTTTCCATATTTAGTGCTTCCTTCAGGAGCTCTTGTAAGGCAGGCCTGGTGGTAACAAAATCTCTCAGCATTTGCTTGTCTGTAAAGGATTTTATTTCTCCTTTGCTTATGAAGCTTAGTTTGGCTAGATATGAAATTCTGGGTTGAAAATCATTTCCTTTAAGAGTGTTGAATATTGTACCCCACTCTCTTCTAGCTTGTATGTTTCTGCTGAGAGATCTGCTGTTAGTCTGATGGGCTTCCCTTTGTGGGTAACCCGACCTTTCTTTCTGGCTTCCCTTAACGTTATTTTTTCATTTCAACCTTAGTGAATCTGAAGATTATGTGTCTTGGGGTTGCTCTTCTTGAGGAGTATGTTTTTGGTGTTCTCTGTATTTCCTGATTTTGAATGTTGGCCTGTCTTGCTATGTTGGGGAAGTTCTCTTGTATAATATCCTGAAGAGTGTTTTCCAACTTGGTTCCATTCTCTCCGTCAATTTCAGGTACATCAATCAAACATAGGTTTTGTCTTTTCACATAGTCCCACTTTTCTTATAGGCTTTGTTCATTCATTTTCATTCTTTTTTCTCGAATTTTGGCTTCACACTTTATTTCATTAAGTTGATCTTCAATCTCTGATATCCTTTCTTCCGCTTGATCGATTCAGTTACTGATACTTGTGTATATTCACGAAGTTCTCGTGGTGTGTTTTTCAGTTCCATCAGGTCATTTATATTTTTCTCTAAACTTGTTATTCTAGTTAGCAATTCATCCAACTTTTTTTCAAGGTTCTTAGCTTCCTTGCATTGGGTTAGAACATGCTCCTTTAGCTCGGAGAAGTTTGTTATTACACACCTTCTGAAGCCTACTTCTGTCAATTTGTCAAATTCATTCTCCATCCAGTTTTGTTCCCTTGCTGGTGAGGAGCTGTGATCCTTTGGAGGAGAAGAAGCATTCTGGTTTTTGGAATTTTCAGACTTTTTGCACTAGTTTTTCCTCATCTTCGTGGGTTTTTCTATCTTTGGTCTTTGATGTTGGTGACCTTCGAATGGGATTTTGGTGTGTAACTCCTTTTTGTTGGTGTTGTTGCCATTCCTTTCTGTTTGTTAGTTTTCCTTCTATCAATCAGGCTGCTCTGCTGCGGGTCTGCTGGAGTTTGCTGGAGGTCCACTCCAGACCCTGTTTGCCTGGGTATCACCAGCAGAGGCTGCAGAACAGCAAAGATTGCTGCCTGTTCCTTCCTCTGAAAGCTTTGTCCAGAGGGTCACCTACCAGATGCCAGCTGGAATTCTCCTATATGAGGTGTCTGTGGACCCCTGCTGGGAGGTGTCTCCCCATCAGGAGGCATGGGGGTCAGGGACCCACATGAGTAGGCAGTCTGTCCCTTAGCAGAGCTCAAGTGCTGTGCTGGGGGATCTGCTGCTCTCTTCTGAGCCAGCAGGCAGGAGTGTTTAAGTCTACTGAACCTGTGCCCACAGCCACCATTTCCCTCAGGTGCTCTGTCCCAGGGATATGGGAGTTTTATCTATAAGACCCTGACTGGGGCTGCTGCCTCTCTTTCAGACATGGTCTGCCCAGAGAGGAGGAATCTAGAGAGGCAGTCTGGCTACATTGGCTTTGTGGCACTTTGGTGTGCTTCGCCCAGTTTGAACTTCCCTGCAGCTTTTTTTATACTGTGAGGGGAAAGTAGCCTACTCAAGGCTCAGTAATGGTGGACGCCTCTCCCCCTACCAAGCTCAAGTGTCCCAGGTGGACTTCAGACTGCTGTGCTGGCAGCAAGAATTTCAAGCCAGTGGATCTTAGCTTGCTGGGGTCCATTGAGGTGGGATCCACTGAACTAGACCACTTGGCTCCCTGGCTTCAGCCCCCTTCCCAGGGGAGTGAATGGTTCTGTCTCGCTGGTGTTCCAGGTGCCACTGGGGTATGAAAAAAAAAACTCCTGCCCAAATGGCAGCCCGGTTTTGTGCTTGAAACCCAGGGCCCTGGTGGTATAGGCACCTGAGGGAATCTCTTGGTCTGCAGGTTGTGAAGACTGTGGGAAAAGCATAGTATTTTGGCCAGAGTGCACTATTCCTCACAGCACAGTCCCTCAGGGCTTCCCTTGGCTACAGGAGGGAGTTCCCTATCCCTTGTGCTTCCTGGGTGAGGTGATGCCCCACCCTGCTTCTGCTCACCCTCCGTGGGCTGCACTCACTGTCTAACCAGTCACAGTGAGATGAGCCGGGTACCTCAGTTGGAAAGCAGAAATCACCCGCCTTCTGCGTTGATCTTGCTGCAGACCGGAGTTGTTCCTATTCAGCCATCTTAAGAAGATCCTGATATAACGGGTTTATGGTCAGATTCTATTCTTGGCCTCAGTCCTTATCTGTGTGCACTGGTAGTGCCTACTGAAGGCAAATAGGAAAAGTGTGGCTTCAGATACTTAGTTAAATTGAGAAATCACCCTTCAGAAGTTTGAGTAACTGCCTAAGGCTCTGTAAGTGAACTTCAGCCCTGAGTTGGTCCTGGAAGGGTAAAGTTGACTCACAGTAGGCCATTGACTGACTTCTTTCTCTCTGCCTGGTGTCTCCTCCAGAAGGGATGGAAGACAGTCTTCTGAATATGCCGTTAAGCCATCAGTTCAGGAATCGCGGTACAAACTGGCATGAATGTCTGGCAGAGAGCAGGGCAATTTGTGGAGAGATATCTAGCAGCTCTTCCAGCACGGCTTTGGTAGGGGAGTGACTGCCTCTCTGAAGCAAGTATGGTTCCAGGCCAGGCCTGGGGAGAGTGAACAGGCAAGGAGGATGGCAGACAAATTTCTTGGGTGCTGCTGCTCTTCTCTCACCAAAAGTACATGGGGAGTAATCCTGAGGTTGAGGAAAGATCATTCTAGGATCTGAAGTCAGGTCTGAGTTTGAGGGCCTAGCTCCATGACTTATAAATTATGTGCCTTTGGGTAAAGACATTTAAGCTCTCTGAACTTTGGGATCTTCCTCTATAAAATAGAGCTGAAAAGAACTTATCTGCCTACCTCATGGGATTCTCACAGGCTCACTAAGATAATAGATACAGGAATGCTCTGTAAACCTCCAGACAGGCTGCAGGTGCTAGTTGTGTAGGAAAGAGAGGATCCTCTCAAGTAACAAAGCTCTTTTGAGAAGGAGGTTGCTTTGATGTAGATACCACATTGTTGGACTTGATGCTATTGAAGCCAAAGATGCCTGTGGTGGGGCTTAGTTTGTTCTTGGCATTAGAGTGAGGAATGTTGACAACTCTGTCCCTTTCAAAGGGTAATGACCATGGCTCTATGCATGCACGTGCCTATGGGTGCAACAATTTCTCTGCCATGTTTTCTTTGCTCCCTAGTTCTTTTTCTGTGCATGCGTCTCACTAGATCTGACATAGGCATCCAAGTACAGGGACATGGATTAGAGCTGTTAGTGTCTGTAGAACTGAGAGGCTGATGAATCATTGTCCAGAGCATGGGCTGGGAGGAAGAGGTTTGCCTCAGACCAGATGTAATCTAGGCCCTTGGTTTCACCATCCAAGTTTAATCATTTGATGAATCTTGTTCAGTCATTTATCAGTGTAATAAATTTCTGTTGAACATCTTGTATTTCTGAGTCTATGGATATTCTGTCTCTTTTCCTGGACAGTTCAACCTCCACCAAGCTTGCTTGGCGTTAATGAAAATGGGCTGTCCAAGACAATACCACAATCCTGTGAATTTGTATAGCTCTTTCTTTACACATTACAAAGCCTTTTGCATGACTCTTCTTAATCCTCTCAATAACACTATGAAGTATAAAATATAATTTATATGCACTTTAAGCCAGGCTGGCTGGGATGCAAAGAGATTAAGCAACCTGCTCAAGGTCACATAGCTAGTAAATGGTGGAGTCAATATTTAAACATAGTCTCTGGTTCTAGAATCCCCATGCCATCCCATAACAGGACATGAAGCAAATTGTGCCTTGTCTATGAAGAAGGCCAACAATTGTTAGGATACATGCTTTGTGTTATTGTTCTAGTGCCAAGAATGTGTTCATAGAGAAACTCCCCCACCCCCAGATCCATTCTGGTCCCTCTGGTGATCAAGGGCCAACATGCCTAAGACAGGGAGACTAGGTTAGCCTCACATATGTTAGCCAGGAAAGAAGAGCTTTTCTCTATCAGAAGCAAAACTCTGTTGGCATCCTTTGCCTTCATTAGCACACATTTGCTGCTCTAAGGTGCTGAGCTTTCCACCTATGACTTCATTTACATTCATTTCTCTGCAAAAGCCTAGACCTCTGGATTGGAAGTTTTTCTAAATGCTCCCTCCCCCACCATCATACCTAGCACTTGTCTCTGGTCTATTGGATTTGTAATTTAGGAAGAGAACCAGGTGACTTCATTTGTTAGGGTAGGATTTATTCATTATAACCACCACCACAGCTACTGGAACTTATTACTCATTCTTCCGTAATGCATTCCTGTGGCTGCATACTTCACAGTCTTTTTCACAGTTTTTATGTTTTTACTATGTATTAATGATTCAATTTTGCAGAGTGATAATGTGATGACGCTTTTGCTTCTCAGGGCTGAAAAGGTTTAGAGATTTTGCCTGATGTGGCTTCTAATTAGGATGTAGTTTAGATGCAAGCATCGATTTCTTCTTTCCAAACAAAGAGAAACACCTCAGCAATCCTCCAGCGAGCACATTCAGCCTGAAAAGAAAATGATTTTCCCCTCCTACTCCTCATCCTCCTTATGTTTGTGCTTTCTTCCTCCTCCTGGCTGCTCACAAGTACACCAAAAGCATCTCTGACTCATAGCAAAGGAACCAGAAAGTTCCTCTTCTAGTCTTAAAAGTTCCATACTTTAAAGTAAAGGGGGCGGAGGTGGGTTTGTCATGTGAGCCTGTTCTGGCATCTGCAAGCCTCCGTCTATCTGAGCACTGTTGATTTCCGAGGGCTATTTTTGATCCTGAAATCTGGGGAATGAGTTTAGATGTTATACAATGGCGGTGGGATAAGGTGATTCTATCTAGAGCTGACTTTCTCTGAAGCTATCCTGATATTCTCTCCTCCCTTGATGGGAATTTAACTTTTTTCTCCCACACCCAGATGAGGATGACCCTTGCTCAATCTCCATTTGAGGAATATTGCTTACCTGCTTGGTGTCTGTACCCATGACTACACGTGTCTGTGAAAACCACTTACTTTGGGCACCTCTTTAAATTTTTTAAAAATTTTATAATAGAATTTTATTGTTTAGAGTGATTTTAGGTTCATGGCAAAATTGAGTGGAAGGTACAGAGATTTCTCATGTATCTCTTACCCCCACCCATGCACAGCCTCCACCATTATCAATATCCCCCACCTGAGTGATATATTTGTTAAAATTGATGAAACTACATTGACACATCATTGTCACTCAAAGTCCATAGTTTACATTAGGGTTCACTCTTGGTGTTGTACCTTCTATGGGTTTGGTCAAAAGTATAATGACACATATTCACTATTACAGGATCATACAGAATAGTTTACTGTCCTAAAAATCTGTGCTCTGCCTATTCATCCCTCTCATCCTTCTAACTCCAGGAAACATTTGATCTTTTTTCTGTCTCCGTAGTTTAGCCTTTTCTAGAATGTCATATGGTTAGAATCATACAGTAAGTAACCTTTTCATATTGGCTTCTTTCACATAGCAATGTACATTTAAGTTTCCTCTATGTCTTTTCATGGCTTCATAACTCATTTCTTTTTAGTACTGAATAATATTCCATTGTCTGGATGTACGATAGTTTATCCATTCATCTACTGAAGGACATCCTGGTTGCTTCCAAGTTTTGGCAATTATGAATAAAGCTACTGTAAATATCTATGTGCAGGTTTTTGTGTGGGCATAAGTTTCCAATACATTTGAGTAAGTAGTATGATACCAATCATAACAAGTAGTAGGATTGCTGGATTGTATAGTAAGAGTATGTTTAATATTGTAACAAATCACCAGACTGTCTTCCAAAGTGGCTATACCATTTTGCATTCCCACCAGCAATGAATGAGAGTTCCCATAGTTCCAGAATCTTACCACATTTGATGTAGTTAGTATTCTGGATTTGGGCCATTCTAATATGTGTGTAAAGATGTCTTCTTATTGTTTTGGCTGGGCATGGTGGCTCACACCTGTAATCCCAGCACTTTGGGAAGCCAAGGTGGGCAGATTACTTGAGCTCAGGGGCTCAAGACCAGCCTGGGCAATGTAGTGAAAGCCCATCTCAACAAAATATACAAAAATTAGCCAGGAATGATGGAGCATGCCTTGGGAAGCTGAGGCACGAGAATCGCTTGAACCTGGGAGGCAGAGGTTGCAGTGAGCTGAGATTGCGCCACTGCACTCCAGCCTGGGTGACAGAGTGAGACTCTGTTTCCAGAAAAAAAAAAAAAAATATTACTGTTTTAATTTGAATTTCCCTGATGGTATATGATGTGGAATATCTTTTTATATGCTTACTTACCATCTGTTTATTGTCCTTCATAAGGTCTCTATTAAGTATGGCCCATTTTAAAATCAGATTTTATTTTTATTTTTGAGTTTTAGAGTTCTTTATTTATTGCGGGAAACAGTCTTTTATCTAACATGTCTTTTGGAATTTTTTCCCCCATTTTGTGGCTTGCCTTCTCATTCTCTTGACAGTGTCTTTGACAGAGGAGAAAATTTTAATTTTACTGAGGTCCACCTTATCCGTTATTTCTTTTCTTGTGCCTTTGGTGCGGCAACTAAACAGTCATCACCAAACCCGAGATGATCTAGATTTTCTCCTGTTTTCTTCTGAAAGTTGTATGGTTGTATTTTATGTGTAAGTCTTTAATCTATTTTGAGTTAATTTTTGTCAGAGGTGTATGGTCTGTGTCTAGATTCATGTTTTTGCATGTGGATATCCAGTCTTCAGAGCAACATTTGTTGAAAAGACTATCTTTTCTCCATTGTTGCTTTTACTCCTTTATTAAAGATCAATTAACTATATTTGTATGTCTATTTCTGGGCTTTCTATTCTGTTGCATGGATTTATTTGTTTATTCTTTTACCAACACTGTATTGTTGATTACTGTAGCTTTTAATAATAAGTCTTGAAGCTGGATGGTGTCACTCCTCTAGTTTTGTTCTTCTCCTTCAATGTTATATTGGCTATTCTGGGTCCTTTGCCTCTCCATATAAACTTTAGAATCAGCTTGTTGATGTCCACAGAATAACTCACTTGGAATTTTCATTGGAATTGTATTAAATCTACAGATCAATTTGGGAGGAACTGACATCTTGACAATATTGAGCCTTCCTAACCATGAACATGGACTGCCTCTCTATTTATTTTCTTCTTTAATTTCCTTCATAAGAGTTTTGTAGTTTTCCTCACATAGATCTTAAACACATTCGTTTGAGTTATAACTAAGTATTTCATTTTTAGGGGTGCTAATGTAAGTGATACTGCGCTTCTGATTTCAAATTCCACCTGTTCATTGCTGACATATTGAAAAGTAATTTTTATGTATTAACCTTATATCTTACAACTCTGCAATAATAATCTATTAATTCCAAAAGATTTTTTTGTCAGTTCTTTCAGATTTTCTGCATATACAATTATGTAATCTGCAAAAAAAATTTATTTCTTTCTTCCCAATCTTTATACCTTGTATTTCCTTATCTTATTGCATTAGCTAGGACCTTCAGTATATTGGAAAACAGTAGCGAGAAGAGACATACTTACCTTGTTCCTAATGTTAGTGGGAAATTTTTGAGTTTCTCACCATTAACTATGTTGTTAGCTTTAGGTTTTTTGTAGATATTCTTTATCAGGTTGAGGAGGTTCCCCTGTATTCCTAGTTTACTGAGAGTTTTTATCAGAAATAAGTATTGGATTTTGTCATATGCTTTTTTCTGCATCTATTGATATAATCATGTGATTTTTCATTTTTAGCTTGTTGATGCAACAGATTGCATTAATTAATTAATTTTTGAATGTTGAACTGGCCTTGCATATCTGGAATTCCACTTGTTTTTGCCGTATAATTATTTTTATTCATTGTTGGATTTAATTTGCTAATATGTTGAGAATTTTTGTGTCTCTATTCATGAGAGATATAGAAGTGTACTTTTCTGTAATGTCTTTGTTAGGTTTTGGCATTAGTGTAATCCTGGCCTCCTAGAATGAGTTAGGAAGTATTCTGTTTCTATATTTTGAAAGCGATCATAGATAATTGTTATATTTTATTTCTTAAATGTTTGATAGAGTTCACTGGTGGACCTATCTGTGTCTGGTGCTTTCTGTTTTAGGAAGTTATTAATTATTGATCCAATTTTTGAATACATACAGACCACTTCAGATTGTTTATTTCTTCTTTGCATATTGTTTCTTTCAAGGAACTGGTCATTTTCATCTAGATTATCAAATTTATGAGCACAGAGTTGTTCAAAGTATTCCTTTATTATCCTTTTAATGTTCATGAGGTCTGTAGTGATGTACTCACCTTCATTTCTGATATTAGTAATTTATGTCCTCTCTCTCCTTTTTAGAATTAGCCTGGATAGAAGCTTATGTATTTTATTGATATTTTCAAAAAAACAGCTTTTGGCTTTGTTGATTTTCTCTATTGATTTTTAAATTTTATTGATTTCTGCTCTACTTTTTATAATTTCTTTTCTTTTCTGCTTACTTTGCATTTAATTTGCTCTTCTTTTTATACTTTCCTAAGGTGGAAGCTTAGGTGATTGATTTTAGATCTTTCTTCTTTTCTAATATAGGTACTGAATGCTATAAATTTTCCTCTATGCACTGTATTTGCTGCATCCCACAAATTTTGATGTGTTTTTTTTAAATTTAGTTTGAAGTATTTTTGAAATTCTCTGGAGATTCCTTCTTTGAGTCATGTGTTAGAGTTATGTTTATTCTCCAAGTATTTCAAGATTTTCCAGCTATGTTTCTGTTGATTTCTAGTTTAATTCTATTGTGTGATCTGAGAGCAGACATTACATCATTTGTATTCTTTTAAACTTGTTAAGATGTTTTTTGTGGCCCAGAATGTGTTCTATCTTGGTGAATGTTCCATGTGAGCTTGAGAAGAATGTGTATTCTGCTGTTCTTGGGCAAATTAGTCTCTACATGTCCATTTTATCTAGTTGACTAATGATGCTTTTGAGTTCAATGGTATCGTTACTGATTCTCTGCCTCCTGGGTCTGTCTATTTATTGTAGAAGGGTATTGAAATCTCTAACAGTAATAGTAGATTCATCTTTTTCTCCTTGCAGTCCTATCAGTTTTTGGGTGCATACTTATTAAGGATTATTATGTCTTCTTGGAGAATTGATCCCTTTATTATGCAACTTGGCACCTTTTAAAAAACAATATCTAAATGATTTCTTTTAGCTGGAGACTTATAAGTTCAAATATGGCCAACCCACATAAATGAGTATAATATTGAATTCATATACCAGATTTATAATTCAGGAAGAGAGTTAGGTGACTTTGTTATTTATGCATTTAATCAATTTCTTGCATCTATGTTTGACTTACACTGTTAATGACAGAAGGAAAGAGATCATTAATTTATTCATTATCACCTATGTATCAGGTGGTATCATGCTGGAAATGCAATGATGAGCAAGATAGGCAAGGTCCCTTCCATTTGGAGCTAATGACCTAGTGTAGAAAACAAAAAATTAAATAATTTTTATTTCCAGTGTTAGGGGAGCTCTGAGTACACAGGCTATAGATATCTTTATATTTTCTTCAGAAGGTTGTACCATGATATGTATATAGGACATGTTCAGTTATTTGCAAAATAAATGGATTGAATAAATTGTATGGAATAGTGCAGTGAAAATGGGAGCAGATTTTGAGAGGAACTTTTGGATAGTGATGAGGGTCCCATCATTGTCAGTAATGTTGCTCATGAAGCAGATGGGTCCTGATGCAAATGTAGAAAATGGAGCATCGTGTGACTTCAATGTGAAGGAAATGGATTCTTTGCCCTACCTGCTTTGATGACCTGCCCAGTTCCTGAGATTTCAGCATCATCCATCCTCCCTCAGGGCAGCTGAGACTCAGAGCCACTTTCCTTGCTGTTTTATACACCTATGAGACTTTCTGTGAGACGGCAGTCAGTGTCCTGCTTCAGACTCCTGCAGCCCAGTCTTCCACCTTCCACTTACGTCCCTGCTCTATTCCTCTCTCTCTCTTCTTGCTCATATGAATGACCACATCAACTACAGCTATAATTAGTAAATTTCTAGAAAGTAGTTTTCCACCTGCAAAAGCAAGTAGCATTTTTTGCAAACAAATTGTTTGTCCTGATTGGTGAACTATGAGATTCAGGCTTTGTGGTGACTTTTTTTTTTTTTTTAATTCAGAGGATTAAAGTCATCCTAAATTGACTTAGATCTCCCTCAAGAGAGAAGTACCTGTGAGCTCGTTATCTCTGAGGCTGAGCGGTAAGGTTAAATGCTTGGGTAGGCAGGGTGGAGAAGGCAATCTGGTATACTTAATCCATTTTGAGTTAATTTTTACTGTAATCCTCTGGAGGCAGAACAAATTATGCCTGCATTTGACCATGCACTTAGAGGGGTATATTGGCACTTAGTGACGCTAAGGGTGCTAAGCGTTTCCATGAGAAAACTAGATGTCCTTCACTGCCCCATACAGAGCTGAGCGCTTTGTGCTACTCATCGCTTTATGGCTCCTTGAAGGAACAGGGATTGCACTGGTTTCCTCTTCAGCTTGTTTATGTTAAATGCTGTCCCATTTTCAATGCCTCTCAAGAGAAGCTTATAAAAGCAGAGACCCCACAGAGATAGAAGAACCTCAGGGGACCTCTGTAGATGTAGGGAGAAGAGCATTTAAAATATTTCAATTTTTCCCATAGACCTAGTTAGCCCTGGCTCTAGTATAATTTCAGGGAATATGTCATAACCTGTCCCATTATGGCAGAGTGAGGAATTGAATCCTAGGGAAATGGGAAGAAGAAATTTTCCTACTGTTAAACAAGCAAATTCCAATGAGTGGCTGTCAACTGAAATGGAGAAAGCAGAGAGACAAGTAGATGTAGGATGGGAGGAAGGTAGATGGAAGGATTCAGGTTTGGTATTGTAAAATTTGAGATGCCAAACAGAGATGTTTCCAGGGTTCTTTGATCTACCAATCTTTGTATATCACTGAATCCACATCTACTGTTTTAATTAATATAGACATTTAATATATTTTAACTGGTGGGTCAGTTCTCTTTGCTGTTCTTTTAAAAATTGTCTTAATTATTCATATATTACTGTCCTTATGCTGGAATTTTCAAATAAGTTTAAGTGCTCTGAAAACTCTTGGACGTTTGCTTGCAACCTTCCCAAATTTTTAACACAATTTCGGAAGAATTAATATTTTAATAATATTGGGTTTTATAGTTAATGATTTATTTCTCCATTTATTCAGGAATTTTTAAACATTTCCTGTGATGTAGTCCTGATAACTTTCTCCATAAATGCTCTGCACATTTTTGTTTATTCCTAGATGTTTTACATTGTTTGTTGCTATCATGAATGGTCTGTTTTTTTCTTATTAGATGTTCTAATTGATTATTGCTTCTCAGAGTAATGCTATTGATTTATTTTTTTTTTTTTTTGAGAAAGTGTCTTGCTCTGTAGCCCAGGCTGGAGTGCAGTAGTGTGATCTCAGCTCACTGCAACCTCCACCTCCTGGATTCAAGCGATCCTCCCACCTCAGCTTCCCGAGTAGCTGGGATTACAGGCACCCGCCACCACACCCAGCTAATTTTTTGTGTTTTTAGTAGAGATGGGGTTCACCATGTTGGTCAGGCTGTTCTCAAACTCCTGATCTCAAGTGATCCGCCCGCCTTGGCCTCCCAAAGTGCTGGGATTACAGGCATGAGCCACTGCGCCCAGCCAAAATATTGCTATTGATTTTTGTGCATAGATTTATAACCAGCAAGTTTCCTAAACCCTCCTAATAGTTCTAATAAGTTTTACTCATGATTCAGTTGCATTTCCTATATAGACAAATATATAACCTACACTTAGAATTTTAACTCATTTTCTAATCATTATGACTCTTCATTCCTACTGTATTTTTTGGACCTTCAGTGGAATATTCAACAGCAGTGGTCATATAGGCTTTCTTGCTTGTTCCTGACTTTAATGGGAAAGCTTTTGAAATTTTACTATTAAAGGTAATTTTGACTCTAGGTTTCTGATAGATATTCTTTCCGGATTAAAGCATTGCTTTTTAAATCTTGGTTTATTAAGAATAATTCATGAAAGTTTTATCAAATGCTTCTGTATTTCTTGAGAAGAATCATATGTTTCATTTCAATTCTTAATGTGGTGAATTACATTGATAGGTATCCATTTCTCTTCTTTTGCCTTCCTTTTTCATTTCCTCCTTCCTTCCTTCCCTTCAAGTGTAGGAAATTGAATTAATCATACTCCTGAGTGTGTGGAACACTATCAACCTTGGTTTGTTTCTTTGCTGTTGTTCTTACCCCTTTAATCCACCATTCTGCCTTCAGTCTGTGTATTTGGAGATATACGTAACCCTGAGAAATATGCACTGGGTTATGTGTATATGTTAGGGGTATATGAGTTTAATTTACTTAAAAGGTATTGTGCTATTAATATATTTCCTTTTTTTCATTAAACACTATGATCTTTGGCATTATAGCTATGCTGATATATATATGTATGTATGCTGCTATATGTATATGAATATGTGTGTATATATTGATGAAAAAATATAAAAATCTATTGTATTGTGCCTGACATGGTTCTGCACAGTATTCAGTGCTGTGCAAAACTACTACATTTTACTTATCGAATTCTTTGTGGTGGACTTAGGTTTCCTCTCTTGCCTTGGTATTCACTATTTGTGAATAGTGCTGTGATGAATATCCCTGTTCATGTTTCCATGAGACCTTTGAGAGAGTTATTCTGGAGTATATACAGAAGAAAGTATGGCATGTTTGCCAGATTTTCTAATATTGGCCACTTCTTATATTTCTAGGGTAAGTCCTGCTTAGTCATAGTATCAGGATGCTTTCAGCTCTAAGTAATAGAAATATCTAACTTGAATTGTCTTAAACAGCAGGAAAATTTATTCTCTTACATTGTGAGATGTCTTAATGTACAGCTTCTTCAGCACTGTTTAATTTAGTGACTCAAAGACAGCATCAGGTTTCTTCTGTCTTTCCTGTCCTTCACCTCCACATGGGCATTGCCCTTTGCCAGACTTCCAGGGCTACATGCAGCTGCTACAGTGCCCAGCAGATGTAGAAGACTTTTTTTTTCTTTGACTCCTTTTAAAAGTGAAGAAACTTTTCCAAGAAGCTTATATTCTCCAACCTCAGTAGACTTTTCTTTGTGCTTCATTGGCCAGAATTATGTCACGTGCGCAGGGCTAAATTAATCCCCAGCCTTGGACTAAAACTATCAAAACTAAGTTAGACCAGTGACTCAAACTTGACTGCATATTAGAATCATGTAGAAGCTTTAAGAACTGAATTAGAGCCTCTCAATTCCACTTAACTGAATTATATTTATCTATTTTTTCACTACTATCTCATTGTCTATTGTAATTATTGGTCTGTTTGACTTTTTGAAATTCTTTAAGTCTTTTATTTTCATAAATCTCCCTATGATTATTTACTATTGACTGTATCTGGAGTAATTTCTCTTGATTCACATATTATTTTTGTATTTTCTTTTCTTTTTATGTCTTTGAATCAGGGGCATAAGATGGGAACCCTAGGGCTGGGCCTGGTGGCTCATGCCTGTAATCCCAGAACTTTGGGGGGCTGAGTTAGGAGGATGGCTGAATTAGGAGGATGGCTGAGGTCAGGAGTTCAAGCCTGGCAAACACAGTGAGACCCTCTCCATCTCTACAAAAAGTAAAAAAAAATAAGCTGGGCACAGTGGCATGCACCTGTAGTCCCAGCTACATGGTAGGCTGAGGAGAGAGAATCACTTGAGCCCAGGAGTTGAATGCTGCAGTAAGCTATAATCGCCCTACTGAACGCCAGCCTGGACAACAGAGTGAGATGTCTCTAAAAAATAAATAAATAAAGATTTAGAAATATAAAAATTTTTTAAAAGAGGGAAACTCCAACTATTCAAGCACATTTCAAATCTTTGTTCATGATACACCTTCCAATATCTCATTTTTCAAAGTCATATGGTCACGTTGAAAGACAAGAAGCAGGGGATTCTGTTACATACAAGACCATTGCATGGGAATGAATAATGTTGCTTAGGGGAAGCAAGAAGTAATACCTGTAATTTAATCTACCACCAGTAGAAAATGAAAAATGATAGTTCAGTGGTCATGGTAGCGAAAAATGAGAAAATGGACAATTCTGTCAAAAGCTACAGAAAGCCCAGTAGGACTTGAAAGGAATAGTAGGACTTTGAAAATAATATTTCATGTGGCTCACAGGTGATTGGTAACTTGTACAGAAAATTAAAGTATTGAGGATAAAAGCTTGATTGAAAGGAATTAAGAATAAATTGGGTAGAAGAGTCAGAAATGAAAAACCACGTGATATGGTTTGGATCTGTGTCCCCACCCAAATCCAATGTTTAATGATAATCCCCACTATTGGTGGTGGGACCTGGTGGGAGGTGATTGGATCATGGGGGCAGAGTTCTTATGAATGGCGTAGCATCATCTGCTCAGTGCTGTTCTCATGATAGTGAGTGAGTGAGTTATCATGAGATCTGGTCGTTTATAAGTGTGTAGCACCTCCCCACTCTCTCTCTTGCTCCTACTCTACCATGTAAGACACCTTGCTCCCCCTTTACCTTTTGCCATGATTGTAAGTTTCCTGAGGACTCCCCAGAAGCTGAGCAGATGTCAGCATCGTGCTTTCTGTACAGCCTGCAGAACCATGAGACAATTAAACCTCTTTTCTTTATAAATTACCCAGTCTCAGGTATTTATTTATAGCAATGAAGGAATGGACTAATACACTGTGTTTATGAAGAGCTGGAAAAGGGAAGAAAAGGACACACTCTTTTTTGTAAAATAGGAGAAAACTGTTTAAAAGCAGAAGTGAAGGGAGATTGAAGCTTCTTTGCTAGTAGTTAGGGAATAATTATAATCATCAGGTCAGTCAGAGGGATGGTATGCAGAGTGTATGGAAAGACCATTTTAATCATCATTATTGTCATCATAGCTAACAATTATTAAGCATTTACCATGGTACAGGCACTATATAAAGTACTTAACATCGATTATCTTGCTTGATCTTTTTTTTTTTTTTTTTTTGGTGCTCTTCCCTTTAAGCTTTTTTCCACTGAATGTTTTTCTTTTCCATAGCCGAGATCATATTATGTATATATTTTGTTTTTTTTAATTTATTATTATTATACTTTAAGTTTTGGGGTACATCTGCACAATGTGCAGGTTAGTTACATATGTATACATGTGACATGCTGGTGCGCTGCACCCACTAACTCGTCCTCTAGCATTAGGTATATCTCCCAATGCTATCCCTCCCCCCTCCCCCCACCCCACAACAGTCCCCAGAGTGTGATGTTCCCCTTCCTGTGTCCATGTGTTCTCATTGTTCAATTCCCACCTATGAGTGAGAATATGCGGTGTTTGGTTTTTTGTTCTTGCGATAGTTTACTGAGAATGATGATTTCCAGTTTCATCCATGTCCCTACAAAGGACATGAACTCATCCTTTTTTATGGCTGCATAGTATTCCATGGTGTATATGTGCCACATTTTCTTAATCCAGTCTATCTTTGTTGGACATTTGGATTGGTTCCAAGTCTTTGCTATTGTGAATAATGCCGCAATAAACATACGTGTGCATGTGTCTTTATAGCAGCATGATTTATAGTCCTTTGTGTATATACCCAGTAATGGGGTGGCTGGGTCAAATGGTATTTCTAGTTCTAGATCCCTGAGGAATTGCCACACTGACTTCCACAATGGTTGAACTGGTTTACAGTCCCACCAACAGTGTAAAAGTGTTCCTATTTCTCCACATCCTCTCCAGCAGTTGTTGTTTCCTGACTTTTTAATGATTGCCATTCTAACTGGTGTGAGATGGTATCTCATTGTGGTTTTGATTTGCATTTCTCTGTTGGCCAGTGATGGTGAGCATTTTTTCATGTGTTTTTTGTCTGCATAAATGTCTTCTTTAGAGAAGTGTCTGTTCATGTCCTTTGCCCACTTTTTGATGGGGTTGTTTGTTTTTGTCTTGTAAATTTGTTTGCATTCATTGTAGATTCTGGATATTAGCCCTTTGTCAGATGAATAGGTTGTGAAGATTTTCTCCCATTCTGTAGGTTGCCTGTTCACTCTGATGGTAGTTTCTTTTGCTGTGCAGAAGCTCTTTAGTTTAATTAGATCCCATTTGTCAATTTTGGCTTTTGTTGCCACTCCATGAGATATGCAGAATATATTTTCCCTATTCCATAAGTATGGAAACAAACTCAGAGTCAGTAAATTGTCTGGGGCTATCCAGCTAATAAGTGGCAGAGCCAGTATCAGAATCTAAAGGCAGCATTGTTCATCTTAAAGAAGGATGGGTTGAAGTGAAGATAATGTACCCTTAAGCCGAATGATCTCATTTCTATGAATTGTATTGGAGCTAAATAGAGAAAAAGGCAACTGCAGTGGGAAGAATGTATTAGTATCATAAAGAACCAAGGAGATATTAGAAAGAGTCACTCTGTAATGAACCAGTTCTCATCTCCCTCTGTCTGGGATCTTCAACTTGACAACAGATACTAAGAAGCTAAGAGGAACTAAGATTTATGACTTATCATGTCTACTAATAAAGCATGACAAATAAGATGCTGGGACAAGGATAAGAACATTAATGAAAAGCTACCTGATTAACAGAGGCTGAAGCTGTTAGCAGAGATGGTGAGTGTATTTAAAATAGATGAGTGAGGGCACCTGGGTGACACTGCTCACAGTAGGGGAAAAAAGAGGCTAAGAATCTCAGCTGGGAGAGTACCATGTGCTTTTTTCAATTCTTGTGCTGGGAAACCCAAAGTGTTCTGTGTTGAGAGATATTCATTAGACCTAAATCAAGCCTTGGATATTGCACATCACTGAGACAGTATTAGTGGTGGAGGTGTGGGGGTGAGGATGGAAAGAGGGACAACACTGGATGTTTTTTCACTGTATTAACATAGATAATATCAGTGATTTCTACTTCCAGACACAAGAGAGTGAATGGAGTTGGACTTATTCTCTTACTGTAAACAACTAGAAAACCAGACAAAAATCTATGAAAAAAACTCCTTTTGGTAATTAGTACAGTTCTGTGACTCCTCAGAGAAAGGAAACAAATGAGATAAGACCTATGATAATACCAACTTTCTGCCTGGAGATACTTTCTGGACCACAATACACACTCAAGAAGAGCATGATATCACAGAGTTGAGAAGACAAAAATTTGAATTTGAAGAGGCTGAGTGGCTGGAATGTGCTCAGTAGAGAAAATGCTGAGGATCTTTATAGCATTCCTCTTGTAACTACAGCTGACTGCTATATGTAGGCTGAAATTGCACAAGCCAGGCAAAGAACTACCAGGTATCTGTAAGTTGAATATTTCCAGAGGCAATACAGGGCTGGTAGAAGTTTGAGTTATGACCAGCCAGGGTAAATTTAGGGTCCTTGCTTAATATTGAGGGCATTCCAAAATAAGTCACAGCTTAGTTATAGGACTAAATAAGCCCTAGAGTAAAGTCTACTTAATAAAGTTTTAATAAAGCCTAAAAAAGGATCAAGCTGATATGTAATTAAGTTAACTGCCAGTAAGAGCACAGTTCAACATCCATTAAAGAGGACAATATCCAGCATTCAACAATATGAAGGCGCAATGTCCAGCATCCAATCCAAAATTACCAGGCATGCCTAAAAGCACACACACACACACACACACACACACACACACACACACACACGACTTATAACTAGGAGAAAAATCAGTTAACAGAAATAGACCTAAAATGACAGAGAAAATAGAATTAACAAACAAGGTCTTTTAAGCAGCTATTGTAAATATGCATATCACTGGAGTCCCAGAAAGGATGAAGGGCAGAAAAAATATCACAAGTAGTGGCTAAAAACTTTTCATATTTTATGAAAATTATAAACTCATAGATCCAAGCAGGTCAACAACTCCAAGAAGGATAAACACAAAATAAAATCACACCAAAGGAGTTCATGATCAAATTACTGAACAAAATTGATAAAGAGAAAATTTTAAGAGCTGACAAAAAAATTACATACAGAGGAACAAAGATAACAATACTCACATATGTCTTGTCAGAAACTTTTAAATCAGAAGAAAATGACATGACGTCTTTAAAGAGCTGTAACAAAAACAGCAAACTGTCAACCTAGAATTCTATATCCAATAAAAATACCATTCAAAAATAAATATGAAATAAAAACTTTTTCAGGCAAACAAAAGCTGACAGAATTATTCACCAGCTGACTTAAAATGCAAGTTCTTCAGATGCAAGGCAAATACTATCAATGAAATTTAGATCTATACAAATGAAGGAAAAACATCATACATGGATAAATGCAAAGAATAAACAGCAAATCCCAAAAGGTTATATACTTTATGATTCCATATAGTCAATATTCTTGAAATGACCAAATTATAGAAAGGGAAAACAGATTAGTGGTTGGTAGGAGTTAATGAGAAGAGGATTAAAGGAAAGTTGGAAGGAAGTGGGTGTGACTATAAAAGGGAAATGAAGAATCTTGTGATTAAATGTTGTTAAGAAGATATTTTAGTGGGGAAATAGGCTTTCAACAAATGGTTCTACAAAATTGGATATTCATATACAAAAAATGAACTTCAACCCTTTACTGTAGACTCAAAAATTAACTTGAAATAGGTAGTATACTGAAACATAAAAATTAAAACTGTAAAACTAGAAGTTTTTCAACATTGGCATATGCGAAGATTTCTTACGACACAAAACATTTGAAACATAAAAGAAAAAATTATACATTAGACTTTATCAAAGGCACTATTAAGAAAGACACCATTAAGAAAATGAAATTTTTAGCCACAGACTAAGCTGATAAAGGTTTGAATCCAGAATGTATTAAAAAAAACTTATACAACTCAATTAAAAATAAATTTTTTAAATAGGCAAAAGAT
Source organism: Homo sapiens (assembly GCF_000001405.40). Lineage (NCBI taxonomy): Eukaryota > Metazoa > Chordata > Mammalia > Primates > Hominidae > Homo > Homo sapiens. The sequence goes on along the minus strand of NC_000001.11, from coordinate 210,868,267 downwards.
TTGGACAGACACTTTACACGCACACATGAATGGCCAAAGGCACATGAAAAGATGTTCCATTTAATTAGTCATCAAGGAAAGGCAATTGAAAACTACATGAGATACCCACTATATGAATACAATTAAAAAGACTTACATATATTGCTTGTGGGTATGTAGAATAGTATTAACATTTTGGAAATCAGGTTGGCAGTTTCTTATAAAGTTAGGCATACACTTATAAGACCTAGTGTTTCCACTTCTGTTCATTTACCAAAGAGCAGTGAAAACATATGTTCACACAAAAACTTGTATATCAGTGTTCATAATAACTAAAATGAGGGAAAAATATCAAATGTCCTTAAGCAGATGAGTGCAAAACAAACTTTAGTCTATTTATATAAGGGAATACTCTCAGCAATAAAAAAGCAATGTATTAGAGATATGCATGACACATGGTTGAATCTCAAATATATTATCCTGAGTTATAAAAAAGTCCAGGTCCCAAATAGTACATGCTGTAGGATTTAATTTATCTGGAATTATAGAAAAGGGCAAAACTTACTTAAAATGACATAAAGTAGATCAATTGTTGCCTAGGGTTGGGCATTTTGAGACAGAGGGGCACAAGGGACTTTTTGGGGTAATAAAAATATTCTGTATCTTGAATGTGTTGGTTATATGGTGGTCACATTTGTGAAAACACATCAAACTATGAACTGAAATGGGAGTACTTTGTCACATGTAAATTATACCTCAATAAAATTTTTTTTCAGAAAACACCATCTAATTGCTTTTCACAGTACCTTTGGTCACACAGCCACATGTTAGGCTAAAGCAGAGGAGTATCTGTGGGTGGTTTTCTATACTTGACATTGCCCCCACTTTAATATGAATTTGCTTTGGACACATATATATATATATATGTGTGTGTGTGTGTGTGTGTGTGTGTGTGTGTAAACATATACATATAATTCTATGTGTAGGTGTGTGTGGATATAAATATTGAAATAAAACTCACCTACCATACAATTTGCATAATTAAAATGTACAATTCAATAGTTTTAAGTATATTATTGAGTTGTGCAACCATCACCACTATCAATTTCAGAACATTTTCATAACTCCCAAAAGAAACCCCATACCCATTTTCAGTCACTTTCCATTTCTCCTCACATTTCCTAGCCCTAGGCAGCCACTAATCTACTTTCTCTAAATGTAGATTTACCTGTTCTGGACACTTCATATAAATTGAATTGTACAATATGTGGTCTTTTGTGACTGGCTTATTTCACTTGGAATAACATTTTCAAGGTTCTAATATTTTGTAGCATTTATCAGTATTTCATTCCTTTTTATTACTGAATAATAATTTATTGTATGGCTATACCACATCTAATTCATCTGTTCATCAGTTGATGGGTATATGGGCTGTTTTCACATTTTTGGCCATTATGAACAATGTTCCTATGAACATTATGAGCATTCATGTACAAGTTTTCATATGGACATTTGTTTCTGCCTTTTTTGGGTATAGACTTAGGAGTGGAATTGCTGAGTCATCTGGTAACTCCACATTTAACATCTTGAGGAACTGCTAAACTGTTTTCCAAAGCATCTGCACCACTTTACATTCTTCCAACAATTTCAGTGTTCTAATGTCTCTACATCATCACCAACACTTGTCGTTTTGATTATGGCCATTTTAATGGGTGTAAAGTGATGTCTCATTGTGATTTTGATTTGCATTTCCCGTATGACTAGGGATGTTGAACATCTTTTCATGTGCTTATTGGCCATTTCTATATCTTCTTTGGAGAAATGTCTATTTAGATTCTTTGCCTATTTTTAATTGGGTTATTTTTTCACTATTGAGTTATGAGTTTTTTGTAATATATTCTGGATACAAATCTCTTATAAGGTATTTTATTTGCAAATATTTTCTGCGAGTCTGTGGGTTGCATTTTTTACTAGCTTGATGGTATCTTTTGCAGTACAAAAGTTTAGGTTTTCATATAGTCCATTTTTTCTAGTTTTCTTCTGTAGACTGTACTTTTGGTGTCACAATTAAAAAGGCTTTGCCTAACTCAGGGTCATAAAGATTTGCCCCTATATTTTCATCTAAGAGTTTTAGAGCATTAGTTCTTACAATTAAGACTATCATCCATTTTGAGTTAAATTTTGTGTATGGTGTGAGGTAGGGGTCCAACTTCATTCACTTGCATGCAGATATCCAGTTGTCTTAACACTATTTGTTGAAAAAGTTTTTATTCCCCCATTGAGTTGTATTGGTGTATACACATTTTTTTTCAACTAAAGCTGATCTATAACATACTTTTTGACCCACATTTAGCCTGGATCCATCAGCTACCTGAGATGGAGAATGACAATAAGGATCAAAATGGGAATTCACCCATTTCATTTGGTTGTGCTTTGCCCCACAATCTAGGCCAAGTTTCAAAATAAAAACTGTCTGTCTTAAAGAGTTGGGGGAAAAGTAAGAGAGAGGCCTTATTCCAGTTTGAAAAACAGAGGTTCTGAACTGTACCTTTCTCCCTACTTTGGAAAATGCGATTGGGGTGTAGGAGAGCCTAGCAAGGTGGCCCAGCTTCCATTCTATCTGGAGATACTGTTTTTCAAAGTCTTTCCTTACATAAAATGCATTTATTAGCAAAAGAAATAACACTTAAGAGTTACAAAGCGTAGCTTCAGCATTGTGTGTACACTGTGAACATTTAGGCATCAAATGAACAGCTGCCTTTTTTTTTTCTTTGCTACCTTATTCCTACTGCCCTAGAACCAAGATCATTTAGTTTGACCCAAAATGTTCTCTAAAGACTATGAGCTTTGAGTTTTAACAAGTAGTTAACAGATTTAGATCTGGATTTGATACTGCTTTGGTGCTTAAAAACTATATGACCTTGGTCAAGTTATCTAAACTTTTTGAGCTCAGTTTCAGGTAAAACGTGGAGTAATAATAAATTACCTTGCAGTATTATTGTAAGGACTGAATTAATGAGCTGTCATATGAAAATATTTGTTCCAGACATTGTACATAATATCTCTGCATTGGGAGACTATGGGGGCATATGTTTAGCTTGACAAATGAAGCAGATTGTATATTCCAGAGATAGCTTTAACATTACCTTCCATTCCACATGTTCTTCTAAAAATTTGCCTTTGATACTTGTTCTCTACCCTTGAACCTGGAAAGCCTTGTGGCTATGGCAGAAGTCACATTATAGTGATAGGCTAAGTCATCAAAGGTCATACAGATTCTGTGTGATTTGTTTGGGACACCTGCTCTTAGAACCCAGCTACCATTCTGTAAAGAAATTCAAAGAGCCACATGGAAGGGCCATGTATAGGTGTTCCAGCTTACAGCTTCAGGTTCTAGCTGACAGCATGGGTCAACCACCAGTTATGTGAATGAACTGGCTCATAGATGATTCCAACTAAGTCATCCCAGTCTTTGAATCTTTCCGGCTGAGGCTCCAGGTATAAGAAAGAGAGACAAGCCATCCTGCTGGGCCTTTTCTAAATTTCTCGTGCTCAGAATCTGTGAACATAGTAAAATGCTAGTTGTCTTACACTGCTATGGGTGAGGTGATTTGTTTTGGGACAAGCAAAACCAGAATTTTCTCCACCTGCCTTGATTGTTGTTGTCCAAGTGTCTCACTCCCTCCATAGAGGTAGGATTTGGGCACTAAAGCTGCAGCCCAAACCCTTAGGGTTACCATCCGTTGAGTGTTTACTGTGAGCAGTGGCAGCTGACACATATTTTGCTTGCAATTAGTCCTCACAGCACAGGAAGCTATCTTCCTCCTCCTTTGTTTTCTCGCTTCCCCACTTGTTTTGCTGAGTTGAGAGGAACTTGGTGATAATCTCTTACTACCAACACTGTTCTTGAAGGAGCATAGTAGGGGGACCTGGAGCTGCATAGTGGACCTCAGTCCTGCAATGCCTTAGTCTCTCCTAAGCTGCTCCTCATTCCCCACATCCTCACTGCCGTGGCATTGCTACCATGCTGAGGGGGTAGAGATGGCATTCTGGGGTCACACCTGGCTCAATAGTGGAGACAGCTACTCTGCTGTCAGGCTGAGAGAAGCCTGCCCCAGCACCATCCACTCCATGCCATAGGCATGTGAGAGCTGGGCTCAGCTGGTATCAGAGGGGATCCAGTCAAACCCTCTGCATGTTTCCTGTAAATTAGCTCTACCCTTAGCAATGAACTCATGAGGCTGTCTGGAATGTGCTGTTCCATCCTGCACTGATCCAGTTGGCACCTGCCATGGCACCTCTAGTTAGCAGCAGGTTTCCTAATTGCCCTCTCCTGAGAAGGGTGCATGTGCTTGTATGATCGGGAGCTCCAAAAACTACCACTTGAGGCCTTTCTACATGACAGGGGAGAGGTCAGGGTTGACAGAGTTCAAGAGTACTTCGTGTGGAGCACCTAAAGCTCTGGAACAGAGGGTGAACAAGTTTAGCATAGAGACCTGCATTGAGAAGGAAGGACACAGTTCTGGCTGCAGCCTTTCATGAGGGAACACCAGCAAGGCACAGCTCCTTTGGGCCTCAGCACCTGACTTTCCCCGATTTCCTAATAAGAGCTGTGAAGAGGAGGGTTGAGAAACAAAATGTAATGTCAGTGATGGAGGTACCATTCAGATCTCGCACATTAAGGTGGAAACATTCCATAAAATCTGTCATCTGTAACTTAACTGGAAATGGCATTTACTATTATCAAGGGGGAAAGTGGTTTTAACTAAGCTGGTCACCAGCTCAGAGACCTCTGGTGACTACATGTTGCCCAAAGTACTGATGCTGGAGTTTAATATGATGTCAAGTCCACTTCAGCCATCTTCCCAGATTGCAGCCTGCTAGTAATCTTGTACTCAAGAGCTAGTAATGTGATTTTGGATAAGGCCTTTTCTGGGTCTGCACTTTGTCTTTTGTAAAATGAAGAGCCTAACTTAGATGGTCTTGAGATTTTCAGAGCTAAAAGTAATCTTAGATTCTATCCTCCTCCACCCCCTAGTGCCCAACACTCTGCTGGGTAACAAGCATGTGCTTGGTGGGTGCATTGATAGGCTCACCAGGTAAAGCAGACCAAGCCTTTCTGCTCCTTATCATCCCTAAACTTAAAATTTCTCTTTTTGGAAGCTCTTCATGGATTCAAGGAAGTTCTCTTGGCCATTCCTTTTTTTCCATAGGGGATAAGTGATGCGGCTTTCTTCCTGAACCTTCTAACACAAGTCATCAAAGCCTAACTTTACACGCATGCCCTGAATCCCTTCTCTTACCTTCTAGAATGGGCAAATCACAGTTAGTATTTGGTTTTCCTGCCAGACAGCCCACTGGCTTCAGGGAATCTGTAGGGAAGAAGGGGACACTCCTATTGGTTTGTACATTTTTGAGATTCAGCCAAACAATAGTGAGTTAAGGCTTCCTTAAGCTGAGATAAGGGCCTTTCCTCCATTTCCTGAACATTTCTCTAATGTTGCCCTTTCCACAACAGCAGTAACTGGGTCTTATTTCTATTTGTATGTCCAGCATCTAGCACAGTAACTCGTAAGTGGATGCTCATAAATACTTATTTTGAGCAAAGCAAAAAGGAATTGTTTTTCAATCCTGCCTCTAACTATTGAAAATATTGGCCAGGCATGGTGACTCAGGCTTGTAAATCCAGCACTTTGGGAGGCTGATGCAGGATGATTGCTTAAGACCAGGAGTTCAAGACCAGCCTGGGCAACATAGTGAGACCCTATCTCTACAACAACACAAAATCAGCTTGGCATGGTAGCGTGAGCCTGCAGTCCCAGCTACTTGGGAGGCTGAGGTGGGAGGATCACTTGAGCCCAGGAGTTCAAGGTTACAGTGAGTTAAGATTGCACCATTGCCCTTTTGCGCCAGTTGCCGCTGCGGCAGGTCCATGTGTGCAGTGAGTAGTGCTATTCCTGGCCCAGTAGCACTCAAGCCCTGGGTTTGACCTAGTTCATGCTGCAATGGACCCCAACACCATTATCGAGGCCCTGCGGGGCACCATGGACCCAGCCCTGCAAGAGGCCATGGAGCGCCAGCTCAATGAAGCACACAAATCTCTGAATTTTGTCTCAACGCTGCTCCAGATTACTATGTCGGAACAGCTGGATTTACCTGTGAGACAGGCAGGTGTTATCTATTTGAAAAATATAACACAGTATTGGCCTGGTCAAGAAACAGCACAAAAGTATATATCCCCTTATACTATTCCAGAAGAAGATTGCCATTGTATTTGAGAAAATATTGTAGAAGCCATTATCCATCCTCCTGAGCTCATCAGGGTACAGCTTACTACATGCATTCATCACATCACCAAACGTGATTATCCAAGCTGCTGGACTGCCATTGTGGACAAAACTGGCTTTTATCTTCAGTGTGATAACAGTGCTTGTTGGATAGGAATTATTTGCCTTTATCAGCTTGTGAAAACTTATGAGTATAAAAAACTAGAGGAGTGGAGTCCATTGGTAGCAGCAATGCAGCATTTTCTGTCAGTTCTAAAGGATCATTTTATCCAGCTTCTTTCTGACCAGTCTGATCAGTCTGTCGTCATCCAGAAACAAATATTCAAGATCTTCTATGATCTTGTTCAGTATATACTCTATGCTCTTGTTCAGTATATACTCTATACTCTATACCACTGGAACTGATAAACCAACAGAACCTGACAGAATGGGTAGAAATTTTAAAGACTGAAACACTTCGAATTGAAGAAGATGACCGACCTGAGTTATCATAATGGAAATGCAAGAAGTGGGCCTTACATATTTTAGCAAGACTTTTTGAAAGATATGGAAGCTCTGGCAGTGTTTCCTAGGAGTATAATGAATTTGCTCAAGTATTTCTGAAGGAATTTGTTGTTGGTGTCCAGCAAGTTTTATTGAAAGTGTTATAACAGTACAACGAGAAGCAATATATGGCTCCTCAAGTTTTACAACAGACATTAAATTCTATTAATCAAGGAGTTTCTCATGCTCTCACCTGGAAGAATCTGAAGCCCCATATACAAGGCATTATCCAAGATGTTATTTTTCCATTGATGTGTTATACAGATGCTGATGAGGAACTTTGGGAAGAAGACCCTTACGAGTATATACGCATGAAGTTTGATGTGTCTGAAGATTTCATTTCCTTTGCCACTGCTGCCCAGAAGCTTTTGTTTACAGCCCATAGTAAGAGGAAGGAGGTACTTCAAAAGACTATGGGATTTTGTTACCAGATTCTTACAGAACCCAATGCTGACCTTTGAAAAAAAGATGGAGCCCTGCATGATTGGCTCTTTAGCTGAAACACTTCTGAAGAAAAAGATCTGTAATGATCAGATGGAATACATGTTGCAGAATCATGTGTTCTCTCTCTTCAGCAGTGAACTAGGCTACATGAGAGCAAGGGCTTGCTGAGTACTTCACTATTTTTGTGAAGTAAAGTTCAAAAGTGATCAGAACATTCAAACAGCTTTAGAGCTAACAAGAAGATGTCTGATTGATGACAGAGACATGCCTGTGAAAGTGGAAGCTGCCATTGTCCTTCAAGTATTTATCAGCAATCAAGAAAAATCTAAAGAATGTATCACAGCATTTATCAGACCTGTAATGCAGGCTCTTCTTCATATTATAACAGAAACAGAAAATGATGACCTTACCAATGTAATTCAGAAAATGATCTGTGAAAATAGTGAAGAAGTTACTCCTATTGCAGTAGAAATGACACAACAGTTGGCAATGACATTTAGCCAAGTAATCCAGACAGGGCCAGATGAAGAAGGTAGTGATGACAAAGCAGTTACTGCTATGGGAATTCTGAATACAATTGACACACTTCTTAGTGTAGTTGAAGATCATAAAGAGATAACCCAACAGCTTGAGGGAATCTGCTTACAGGTCATTGGTACTGTTTTACAACAGCATGTCTCAGAATTCTATGAGGACATCTCTTTAGCGCATAGCCTGACATGTCAACAAGTGTCTCCACAGATGTGGCAGCTACTACCCCTTGTATTTGAAGTCTTTCAGCAAGATGGCTTTGATTACTTTACAGATATGATGCCCCTCCTTTATAATTATGTAACAGTTGATACCAAGACACTTCTGTCTGATACCAAGTATCTTGAAATGATATACAGTATGTGCACAAAAGATTCTTCCAGTAGTTGCAGGAGAAGATGCAGCGTGTCATACGGCAAAATTGTTAGAGGTCATCGTTCTGCAGTGCAAAGGGCGTCACGTTGACCAGTGCATTCCCTTATTCGTGGAAGCAGCCTTAGAAAGACTGCCAAGAGAGGTTAAGACAAGTGAACTTTGAACTATGGGTATGCAAGTTGCAATTGCAGCTTTACATTATAATGCATACCTATTACTAAATACCTTAGAAAATCTTCACTTCCCTAATAATGTTGAACCAGTTACAAATCATTTTATTAGTGGCTTAATGATGTTGACTGTTTCTTGGGGCTTCATGACAGAAGGATGTGTGTTCTCAGTCTCTGTGCTCTTATTGATATGGAACAGATACCCCAAGGTTTAAATCAGGTTTCTGGACAGATTTTGCCAGCTTTTATCCTTTTATTTAATGGATTAAAAAGAGCATATGCCTGCCATGCAGAACACAAGAATGACAGTGATGATGATGAAGCTGAATATGATGATGAAACCGAGGAACTGGGGAGTGATGAAGATGATATTGATGAAGATGGGAAAGAATATTTGGAGATTCTGGCTAAGCAGGCAGGTGAAGATGGAGATGATGAAGATTGGGAAGAAGGTGATGCTGAAGAGACTGCTCTGGAAGGCTATTCCACAATCATTGATGATGAAGATAACCCTGTTGATGAGTATCAGGTATTTAAAGCTATCTTTCAAACCATTCGAAATCATAATCCTGTGTGGGATCAGGGTCTGACTCATGGTCTTAATGAAGAACAAAGAAAACAGTTACAGACACAGTAACTCTGGCCAATCAAAGAAGAGCAGCTCATGAATCCAAAATGATTGAGAAGCATGGAGGATACAAATTCAGTGCTCCAGTTGTGCCAAGTTCTTTCAATTTTGGAGGCCCAGTACCAGGGATGAATTGAGTTATCTCTTTCTTTCCTACTGTGTGATTGTAGTGAAGAGCTTGTGTTCCTCCTAGTAGTGGTTCTAGAACTGGTTCATGTTATCTATTCTAAACTAATGATCAGTAGATGGACAGAAAAAAAATCACAACAACAACAACCCCAGGAGATGGGACCTGATCATGCAACCTGGCACTGGAAAAGAAACCAGTGGGATTTTGGGGGTGGGGGGGATTGGAGGTACCTTAGGGGGTGTATTTTCTTTATTTTTTGAAGAAAGTAAGATCCTGACTCTGAAGCTTCAAAGTGACACTGTGGAAATCTGAAAACAAAAGGGGATGTCATGAAGGCAGCTTTTCTTTTTCTGAGGAAAAAATAGGCATGGGCTACAGGACTATTTAAAATGTCTCATTTACAGTATAAAGCTCAAAGGTAGATGTAATTTTTAAACCTGTGAGAATTTGTCCAATTTCTGTCTCTTCCTCACCATTGGGTATCTATTCTTTATATGCGAATAAGATAAGGTAATCTGATAGCCTTATTCAATCTTCATCATTTTTATTCTTCATTGTTCCTATGTAGATTATTGGACATTTATTGTAGCACTACATAACTGATTATAAAACTCTGTAAATGAGTTAGCACTTTCATATTGAAACAAGCCTGCTAGCCTATGCATAAAATAGCAAAATGTTTGCTGTTTATAAAAAGATGTAATGGAGTGGGGGGCAAGGATAATTTCAAGTTATTAATTTAAAAATGAACTAGCAATTTTGTACCTGGTGACTTCGTGGTCCACTCACTTCTGACAGGGACTTGAATTCAGTATGTAAAAATGGGTTAGTGGTATTTCATTGCTGCTAAAAATGACAACTCCCTCTGTGTCCTGTTTTTCTTAAAGCTGTCAGTGTAGAAGTGAGTATTTAAATACCAGACCTTACTATAAAAAATAAGAAAGGTGGTATCTAGAGCATGTTAACTGGATATGAAGTTCTACTGTGAAAGAGTTGATCTAAGAGTATGGCTAAACACCCATATATGCAATCTATTAAAAGAACTTAATTCAGCTATTATGTCTTGATTTGATTTCAGTTTTGTAACAATATAAACAATTTATAACAATTGTGACAATTTTTCCTCATTGGCCTGTTTTTAATCCTATACCTAGAAAGAGTACAAAATGCATACTTAAAAAATTGAAATTTAACACTCACCCACTCCCCCTTCCTCATCCCTTCTACCCCTCTTGTTGATTGTGGTATCTGATCTTAACTAGATAGGCTAAAGGCATGTGGTTCCCTCCAGAAACCACTATTGATACCACTGCAAAAACAAGCCAGCAAAAAGACAGCGTAGAGAGATTGGCTTGCTTCCCTTTCTTTCTAACTGCAAGTTGAAAAATAAGCCTTTATTGATCTTAAACATCTGTCAGATGAGTCATCATTGGGTTATTTTTTATATACATGTGTACACAAAATATTTCAAATTGAAAGCAACATCTTAATGGATTCAAAACTATTACAAGCTGTTGTCTAAAACAGATGAGAAAATCTATAACTATAAAAACAAATGCATATATTGATATTTAAAATGCATAATTAAGAAAGAAAAAGATTGCAACACTGCACTTTGTCTCAGCCATGTGGACAAATCACCCATTTGGGTATATTTTTCACCCTGACTTCTTTCTGTTCAAGCCTTTACAGTGACCACCAGACAGTTCCCCCTCACCCCCACCCCCATGCGAAAACTTCTGTTGTTGCCTGGGAAACAGAATAAGACCTGTCTCAAAAAGAAAAGAAAATTCAAAGGTCCGGCCTTACGCATAAACAAAATAGGAATCTGTCCCCATGACTCATGATGTGATTTTTAAAGTGCCTGTAAGGCCTCAGGCTCCCATATTTATTTTCTGCTTCTGTAGGATCAAGCTCCCAGATATGTGAAATTCCCTTAACAAGGGTAAAGTCTTCATTATATAAAGCACTAAACGTGTAGTCGCTGGTGTGAACAGTAACCTGTTGACCTGTATGTGCTCTAAGCCAGTGCTTCTCAGATTTTAATGTGCATACAGATCACCTGAGGGTCTTGTTAACATGCAGATTCTAACACAGTAGGCATAGGGTAGGCTCATGGCTTTGTATTTCTTACAAGCCCCCAGAAAGGCTCTAAGCTAGAGCGTCACAACTGAGAGTGCATCCAACTTATCCATGATGCTATTAAAAAGTTTAGATTCAAGACCTCCATTATAGGCTACTAAATGAGCACCTCCAGAGTAAACACCAGGCATGAGTATTTTATATATATATATATATATATAGTGGGTTATATATATATAGTGGGTTACATATATATTTTATATATATTATATATAAAATATATATAATATATATATAAATATAAATATATATATATATAACATATATATATAACAAACACCTCCTCTACCGGTGATTCCAATGTGCTCCTCTGGGTAAGAACCATTACCAAGATTAGTTTATCTTGATGGGAAGTTCTAGCATGAGGGCAGGGATGAGGGGGTACTCTCTGGTGGTCATTGTAAAGGCTTGAACAGAGAGGAGTTAGAATTCTGGGGTAAAAATGTGCCCAAATGGGTAATTTTGTGCACATGGCAGAGACAGAGCTGGAGAATGAGGAAGAAGAGGCTGGACAAATGTCCTTGCCTTCATTTGTGTTCTTTAGCTTTAATGTTTCATCTTGCTCAACTTTCTCATCACCTCACCCTTCAGGTAAGCTGTCCTAGAAGTCAGTGGGAGAAACAGTTTTGGGGTGGGGGTTAGGGAGGAACAGCAGAAATCTACACTTAATGCTCATTTGAAGAGCAAGGAGCAACTGACGTTTAAGTTTTTTCCAGGGGCTGTTTCTGGTTCTTTTGGCATTATGTGAGTGGGATTATTCCAGGCGGGCTCTGGTTTGGGAGTGCTACATGAAACATCCCTCCCAGCAAATTTCTCTGAAGAGTGGTTGATACTTACGTTACGAATGAGTTCAGTGAAAACTGTGGACTCTAGCTAAATATGGAAAACAGAGTTTTTAGATGGCAGCTGCCAAAAGGGTTTGGAACTCTTTTTCTATAACAGGCTCAGTTGAGAACTTGAGATTTTCTAAGGAGGAACATTTGAAAGCATCTTGGTGATAGAGACAAAGTAACATATACAGCAAGAGGCAGAGATGACTCCAGAATGCCTGCATCATTGCTTGGGGCAGGAGACCACCTGCTAGCCAGGTGGCATATTAAGATTAAGAGTAAGCTAATTGCCTACTTTTTTTAAATGCTTGTGAAATTATTTTTTGCAAATGAATGAGCCACCCAGGTACAGCTCAAGTACTTGCAGGTGGAATGAATCACTGCAGGGAGAAAGTACTAAGGGGAAAAGTGGGCTATATTAATAGCAGTGTCCAGCCCCCTTGACTATGTGTGAAGCCATCACCAGCACTCCCAGCTGAGTCGTGACACTCTGCTATAGAAAGGCAGCAGGTGAGTGGGGAGGGCAGGTGACCCCAAATAGCACATGAGCCTACTGAGACTGGGCTTCGCTGTCCACGGTGCTAGCAGAGCAGCTTTACGCTCTCTGGCTCAGTCTATATTCTCAATACACTTAGCTGTTCTGTGTTTTATGTTTAGTTGCCAGCCTAAAGAAGGAGAATATGGTCAAGGCCACATCCTAAAAATCAACAGACATCTGCAGCCTGGACTTCTCTCTTCTCCTCAGGTGGTCCCTGTAGCCATGGCCACAATGCCTACACCTTTGATGGAGCTATTGGCCACTGGAGTGGGTGGAGTATTATTTGGGAACAGGGGAAATCAATTTTGCTTAGAAGCTTACAGTCAATAATAAGGGATTTAAGAAAGGCTGGGTTCATGTCTCTTGTCTTTTAAATTCTTTGCTTAGAAAATTGTGTGAGAGAGTGAGTGTCTTAATCCTCCTTCTGCAGTATCCCTCTCTCTGATTGTGGTTTCTTCTTCTGGCTGTCAATGAGTGTTTTTGCCTGTAACTGGTGATGTCTCGGGCCTGGGTATGGACTTGTTCTGAAGTGGATAAAACTTTAGCTGATGCTCTTGGGAGGAGACTTCCAGAACTCTCTCACACTCATACCATTACCCTCCTTCATCACTAAACATTTGTATGCAGGTGATATTAGGTTAAAATGAATAAAAAGAAATTGCAAAGGGTAGGCTAAGAAGTGAGCCCCAGACACTTTTCACCAGCTAAACCTCTATTGTCTGAATTATTACTTCCCAGCCCAGGGGTTGTCATGATGCTCAAACCAGGGCTAAGGTCAATTGTCTGGTTTTCAGTATCTATACATATATGAGATCTCCATGGTGCTAGCAGAACATTTGTGTTCTCTGGCTAAATCTGTGTTCTTGATACACTTACCTGCTCTCTTTTATTTTTAGTTCTCAGCCTATAGGAGGAGAATATGGTCAAGACCATATCCTAAAAATCAACAGACACCTGGAGTCTGGACTTCTCCCTTCTCCTCAGGTGGTCCCTGTAACCATGGCCACAATGCCCACACCTTTGATGGGCCAGCCCTAGGTGGATGATGCCCCTGCTTATTACTGGTTGTAACTTGTGGACAGCTACCACTTGCCATCCTGGTCTCCAGACCTTTCAGACATAAGCTCTGCCACATTTCTTAATCTGCTCTTCAGAGATGCTCCCAAAGCTGCCATGGGTAAAAGTTGGCTCTGTAGATCCAGGTTTTGGGAGGCCGTGCCTTTGGTTGTAGGTTTTCCAGGTACCTTTCTCTATTTTCTTATTTTTGACCACATTGGAATTAGGCTTTGATTATTCATCCCTTTTCTTGGACTAGCTGAATTAATCTGAAGCAATTTGTTCTCTGAGTCCCAGTTTCCTCATTTATACATTGAGGGGATACCCCTTCTATTTTTGTTATTCTGTGAAATGAGATATAAACTTATTCATTATGACTTGATAATATATTGAGATTGGGAGGAGGAATACATTATTGTATAAAACAAGATTTGTGGTTTTTAAGTTAATGGGTAGATTCCAAATAAAAAGGCTCCTTTTCTCTAAATTGATCATTTGCTGAATTTTTCCTACTTAACATAGCATTATAAATATTAGGGGAAGAATGTTTCTGGAATAACATGATTTTTGGCCCTCTTTTATTTCATTTATGTGACAAAACTCATCGAGATAAACACATTATGCCAGTAGATAAGACTTTGGTTTCTTTTTTTTTTTTTTTTTTTTTTGGCTTAGATAAATGCTTTTACTGCTAGGCATATTAAAATGTCACCTGATTGGGAGTCATCAGTCTCCTAGAAGAAGAATTGAAAATGCTCAACAAACAATTCACAAGAGGCAGAAGAGAACTGGGCTGACTTGAACCGGATGGTTTGGGTCTGTCGGCAGAATTTAGACAAAGGTATTGATCAGAAAGACAGGACTAACAATGGATCCATTTGGCAAGAAAGATGCAAACCAGGGTCCTGGCAAGACCTGATAAATCTTCCAAGGATTGTGTTTCTCTGACCCTGGGCTAGGTCCAACTGTGGCTTTTGAAGCTCTTAAAGGTAAATGCTTCTCTGGTTAGTTGTACCCAATCAGGCTGGGCCTGGGCTCTGTAGAGTGCCCTTGAGGAATGCACTTGCCCACCAGGAGCCCTGGGTCCTCCTGTAGGACAGAGTTCTCTGGGGGATTTGAGATCCATTGGAAAGTTTCTGGCACTGTTGAGTCAGCAGGGTTGGCCTCTCATGACAAGCTCCAGCTCTCTCTGTTTATCATCTGCCTCAGTGGCCAAGCCTCTGGGGAGCAGTCCTGGCTACAAGGACTTTGCTGCATCTCAAACTTGGGCCACCTTCCAAACCTGGCTTTCTGTTATTTTGTGCCTGCTATGCTCTATACCATGGGCAAGGGGCTTTAGATGTGATCTCTTTTAAGCCACAGAGGCCCTACCAGGTAGGTGTTATCTCTGCTTGACAGAAAAAGAAACTGAGACTCAAAAAGGAACAAAAGTTTACGTGGCCAGTAAGTGGCAGAGCTAGGGGTTGAATCCAGCTCTGTCTCACTCCAGATCTCTTGCACTTTTTTACCATAGCCGCCAAACATTATCTTGGAAAAATGAACATTTTAGTGGTTTTTCTGTAGAGCTTTTGAGTGGCCTTATATTCATGCTTGATTTCCACTGGAAAAGCTAGCACATGATGGAAATGTTGGAACTAGGGAAAGAATAGAAGACAGGGGCCCCAAAAGAGGACATACCACTCAGATAAGATGTGATGTGAAACTCATCTTTTGAGCATAAACAGATGGCACAGTTGTGCCTAGAATTTCCACGTTGCCTTTGGCTGTATGGGTCTTCTTAATGGGATATCTAAGAAATTCTAACATCTTTTCTTGATTAGTAAAGCTAGTGTTTGTTCATGAAAGTAAGGGAACCATGGAATGATTTTAACCTGTAACCTACATAATGTTTGTGGCTTTAGAAGCATATATTGTTTCCCTTGGGCCAAGCGCGTTTGCCTAAATATTATTTAAATAGTGCATCCTTGACTTTGGTGGTTGAGGTAGGGGCTCTAAGGGTGAAATTCTCATTCCACAGGCGTTTTGTTTATTTTGTGGTTCACAAAGGACAAGGGGCTCTTTAAAAATTTTTTCCTCAGCAATCTGGGGACTAGAATCATTAAAATAGAAGGCTTCCTAGAAGTCACTTAGGTTAATTAAAATTTAAAATTTACTCTCCTGGTCAAAGAAAACCTTTGCATGCAGCCCATGTTGACTGAGGGCCTACTATGTGCTAGGCACAGCACTGCAGCTTTGCAGGACTTGGTTACTTTTCTTGGCTGCTCCCTCTCCAGCCTTCTCTCGCACCACCTCCTCTTGCTTCCCAAGCTCCCAGCTCCAAACACTTGAGCTTCTTTGAGCTTTTGAACATGCCAAGCCCCTCCTTCCCTCTGGGCCTTTGCCTATGATGTTCCGTCAGCCTGGAATCCCCCTTCTCCACTGTTTTCTCTGATGGCTTTTCCTCCTCCCTCACACATACTCCCCTTAGAGATGCTTTCTGTACCTCCAGAGGGAAAAAGCCTCATTCTCCATCATGCTTTCTTTCTAAGCACATTGTTTTTTTATTCTTCCAAACACTTCTAATTTGTAAATATATATTTGTTTCCTTATTTACTCTCTTTCTCTTCTGTTAGTCTTTAAACTGTGTGGGGGCAAAGGCCAAGTCTGATTTGCTCACCAGAATATCCTTAGCATTTAGCATGATTCCTGGCATGTAGTAGGCAGGGACTCAGTAAATACAGTCATGTGCCACATAACATTTCACTCAACAACAAACCGCGTAAAGGATGGTGGTTCCCATATGTTATAATACCATATTTTTACTGTGTCTTTTCTATGTTTAGGTATTTGTAGATACCCAGATACTTACCATCGTGTTATTATAGCTTACAGCATTTAGTACAGTAACAAGGCGTACAGGTTTGTAGCCTAGGAGCAACAGGCTATACCACATAGCCTGAGATTATAGTAGGTATCCCATCTAGGTTCATATGAGTATACTCTATGATGCTCACACAAGGATGGGATCACCTAAAAATGTATTTCCCAAACTGTGTCTTATTGTTAAGTGACACAAGATGGTATTTATTGATTTTTGAATAGGTATATCTCCAATTGATGAAACTAAAGGTCAGAGAGGTAATGTGACTCTCAAAGTTACCCACCTAGTGAATGGCAGAGGTATGACACTAATCTAGTTCCTGACTCTCAAATCCAGTGTTGCTTCACTTTACGGTGTCGTGTGACATTTATTTTAAGAACATAGCTTTCCTACCACACTGTTGGGATGATAGAAGTAGGTTATTTTGGCTGTAATAGTTATGTCTTAGCTCAAGAAATGAGAAAGTGAAAGAACAAGGTACCCAAACACACTAGACCAAGAACACTTTGAGGGAGACAACAACATGTTCTCTATTAGTTGGGAGCTTCTTGGGCTCAGGAGTCATCACTTTCCAAAGGCTGGCAGTGCTGTGACCAGAGAGAATCATTTAGCATTATTTAGTCAACTCAGAGAGAAAGCTGGATTAACTCCTTTTTCTGTGTCCCAGAGCAGACAGCACATGGCTTTGTCTTCTGAGGATACGTGGGCCATGAAGACAAATATTGAACAGCTCTTTAGGTGAGTGAGAAGGTTGATTTGGCAGCATGAGAATGCAGAGAGCTGCCTGCTCTCTTGCTGTGCCTGAAATGACCTTTTTGTGCATGAAATGAGAGATACTGAGCATGGCTGTTGGAGGCCAGTAGGCTCTAAAGAGGTAGAAGAGACATCTGGAACAAGCTCTAGAAAGTAGGCTTTTGATCTCCCCCAGGATGCTGATAAACAAAGCCTATTTTCCCTTTCCTCTGATGAAAAGCTTTATTGTGGCTTTCACTCACTGTGAATCATGATGTTAGAGTGGCATTGTTCTGCCTCTTGGCTTGCTGTTGAGACTGCTGTGTCAGGCCTGAGCTGGTGCCCCAAAGTCCCTCCAGAGTTCTTGCTTTGCCAAGGCCAAGCTAGCAGAACTGTGGGAGGAGTGATAGGCCTGCACATCTCCAAAGCCCCCTTTGGATTCAGCAGTTAATTTCTGGGTTCTGCATTTAACACAGATCCAAATGCTTTTTTAAAAAACATTTTTTCTTTTTGAGACAGAGTCTCACTCTGTCATCCAGGCTGGAGTGCGGTGACAGGATCTCGACTCACTGCAACCTCCGCCTCCCGGATTCAAGCGATTCTCATGCCTCAGCCTCCCGAGTAGCTGGAGCTACAGGTGCGCGCCACCACGCCCAGCTACTTTTTTTTGGTATTTTTTTTTTCTTCAGTAGAGACTGGGTTTCACCATGTTGGCTAGGCTGGTCTTAAATCCTGACCTCAAGTGATCCATCTGCCTCAGCCTCCCAAAAGGATGGGATTACAGGCCTGAGCCACCGCACCTGGCCCCAGATGTTTTTAGATAAAAGTTAATTATTTGCTTCATCTCTTCCTGCTAATCAGTGTCTTTCACAGCTCATGTATGAGCCTTGCACTTAGAGCTGCAAGTGTGCAAGTGACCTGCACACTTAGAGCTAGGGGAATGGTTACATTCTATCTAGTTTTGCTCATGATAATTTTGGTCACGAAGGAGATGCTAAAATTTTCTTTTTTTTCCCCACATTTTATTCTTTTTTATTCTGTAGATTTAACATGTCAATTATATCTTTATTTTTATTTATTTATTTTTTAAAATTTTATTATTATTTATTGTTCCTTCTAAGACACACAGTGCTGTGGTTTACCATGTGCTCCATGGACTTACACTTAAATCACAGACAGTAACAGCAGGAAGGGATTTATTGGTCATCTTTTCAAGGAGTTTCCACCCTGGGCTGTGGGCAAGTTTGGGAAAGGGGTGGGGTAGATGGAGCTCCTTCTTCTCCCATCTAAGTAGCTATTCTTTGTTTTACATATTGAACTTCTATTTGAATTGTTGCTTGATTAAAAGGCTCATGGCAGCTGGGCACAGTGGCTCATGCCTGTAATCCCAGCACTTTGGGAGGCTGAGGTGGGCGGATCACCTGAGGTCGGGAATTTGAGACCAGCCTAACCAACATGGAGAAACCCCGTCTCTGGTAAAAATACAAAACTAGCTGGGTGTGGTGGTGCATGCTTGTAATCCCAGCTACCCAGGAGGCTGAGGCATGAGAATCGCTTGAACCCGGGAGGTGGAGGTTGCAGTGAGCTGAGATCATGCCATTGAACTCCAGTCTGGGCAAAAAAGAGCAAAACTCCGTCTCAAAAAAAAAAAAAAAAAGAAAGAAAGAAAAGCACACACACGCAAAAAAAGGCTCATGGCTTAAAACCATGGTTTGACAAACTCTATTCTAATTCAAATCCTCCAAGGAGGCAATGGTAATCCAAATGAATCCTTACAGAAATTCTTAGAGGGAATTCTGTTGTTTTTAATTTTGTCTGAATTGTATCCATATAGTAGAATGTTTATAGGATTCTGTACAAGTATATGTATATTTTAATATGCACACATAATACACATACACATGTATGTATATGTGTAAGGCCAGGTTCCAATGCTCACATCTTTAAAGAAGGAGTTGATATCCTTCTATCTAGAAGTAATCTTGCATTGCCTTTTAGTGTACTACTTAATCTTTTTTTCTCTTAAAGTTATTTTACTTTGCCTTGAATTGTAATTAGTTGTGTACATTTCTTTCTCTGCTATACTCTAAGCTTTTTAAGGTCTAAGACACTTAACTCTTTACCTTTGTAACCTCTATAACACCTAATAATGTGCTCTGCCACACATGCAATTAAGGAATCTGTAGTTTATTTGAGAAGAATCATAAAGTAGAAAAAAAATTGAAATGGGGGCCCAGTTGGTAAGATGTTATTATGAAGTCAAATATATAGTATATTATTATGAAGCCAAAATTTCATGCTTGGGCCTCATAAGAACCTAATTTATTTTTCATACAGAAAAATGTCACGTGACCAAGATTCTATCTTGACCAACTATCTCGCAGATTTATGCTGTTATTCAAAAGATGGGACAGAGAAGATGGTACTTATGGCTCAGTGCAAATTAACTTCCATCACTGAAAAAAACAACTTTAGTTATAGGGCTTATCATAGAAGGCCAGTAATGTCAGTGATATAAAGGACTGCATGTGGGTGAGACGCTAGAGTCCACTCTTGCACTAATGATCTAGAACGTAGATTGTTAACATGGACTATTGAGTCTTGACAGAACTCAACTCACATGCAAATTAAATTGAATAGAATTTATAAAGACAAGGGTCAAGGAAAGTAGCCATGTGACCAACCAGTCAGTAAGAGAAATGTGAGCATTGGCAGATTTCAATGGTTCACGTACCCAATTCTTGGTGTCAAATCATTTTCTAAATTGTAAAATGACAGGAAAGAGATATGGTATGTTGAATAACATAATTCAGACAACATTTATTGAATGTCTACTACCTATAAGGTATTACTATCTATAAGACACTATCTTTAACTATCTAGAAGGTATTAAGATTCATAAGATGTTGCCTCTTACTTCCAAGAACCTATAACTCTCTTTGACAGTCTTGTTTCACAAATTGTTCACCACATAGATGGACATTATCAACTTTCAACACACTTAAGGCTGAGATTTCTCAGCAGTTATCACTGTTTTTCATCTTAAACGACAGTTGCCTTCCAGGATCTGGCCCACCCTTTCAGTCTTCCACTCTTCATCTCTGACCTGCACACTTAGAGCTAGGGGAATGGTTACATTCTATCTAATTTTGCTCATGGTAATTTTGGTCACGAAGGAGATGCTAAAAAATTTCTTTTTTTTTTCCCACATTTTATTCTTTTTTATTCTGTAGATTTAACATGTCAATTATATCTTTATTTTTATTTATTTATTTTTTAAAATTTTATTATTATTATACTTTAAGTTTTAGGGTACATGTGCACAACGTGCAGCTTTGTTACATATGTATACATGTGCCATCTTGGCGTGCTGCACCCATTAACTCGTCATTTAGCATTAGGTATATCTCCTAATGCTATCTCTCCCCCCTCCCCCCACCCCACAACAGGCCCCGTTGTGTGATGTTCTCCTTACTGTCTTCATGTGTTCTCATTGTTCAGTTCCCACCTATGAGTGAGAACATGCGGTGTTTGGTTTTTTGTCCTTGTGATAGTTTGCTGAGAATGATGGTTTCCAGTTTCATCCATGTCCCTACAAAGGACATGAACTCATCATTTTTTATGGCTGCATAGTATTCCATTGTGAATATGTGCCACATTTTCTTAATCCAGTCTATCGTTGTTGGACATTTGGATTGGTTCCAAGTCTTTGCTATTGTGAATAGTGCCGCAATAAACATACGTGTGCATGTGTCTTTATAGCAGCACGATTTGTAGTCCTTTGGGTATATGCCCAGTAATGGGATGGCTGGGTCAAATGGTATTTCTAGTTCCAGATCCCTGAGGAATCGCCACACTGACTTCCACAATGGTTGAACTAGTTTACAGTCCCACCAAAAGTGTAAAAGTGTTCCTATTTCTCCACATCCTGTCCAGCAGCTGTTGTTTCCTGACTTTTTAATGATTGCCATTCTAACTGGTGTGAGATGCTATCTCATTGTGGTTTTGATTTGCATTTCTCTGATGGCCAGTGATGGTGAGCATTTTTTCACGTGTTTTTTGTCTGCATAAATGTCTTCTTTTGAGAAGTGTCTGTTCATGTCCTTCGCCCACTTTTTGATGGGGTTGTTTGATTTTTCTTGTAAATTTATTTGAGTTCATTGTAGATTCTGGATATTAGCCCTTTGTCAGATGAGTAGGTTGCAAAAATTTTCTTCCATTCTGTAGGTTGCCTGTTCACTCTGATGGTAGTTTCTTTTGCTGTGCAGAAGCTCTTTAGTTTAATTAGATCCCATTTGTCAATTTTGGCTTTTGTTGCCATTGCTTTTGGTGTTTTAGACATGAAGTCCTTGCCCGTGCCTATGTCCTGAATGGTAATGCCTATGTTTTCTTCTAGGGTTTTTATGGTTGTAGGTCTAACATGCAAGTCTTTAATCCATCTTGAATTAATTTTTGTGTAAGGTGTAAGGAAGGGATCCAGTTTCAGCTTTCTACATATGGCTAGCCAGTTTTCCCAGCACCATTTATTAAATAGGGAATCCTTTCCCCATTGCTTGTTTTTCTCAGGTTTGTCAAAGATCAGATGGTTGTAGATATGTGGCATTATTTCTGAGGGCTCTGTTCTGTTCCATTGATCTATATCTCTGTTTTGGTACCAGTACCATGCTGTTTTGATTACTGTAGCCTTGTAGTATAGTTTGAAGTCAGGCAGCGTGATGCCTCCAGGTTTGTTCTTTTGGCTTAGGATTGACTTGGCGATGCGGGCTCTTTTTTGGTTCCATATCAACTTTAAAGTAGTTTTTTCCAATTCTGTGAAGAAAGTCATTGGTAGCTTGATGGCGATGGCATTGAATCTATAAATTACCTTGGGAAGTACGGCCATTTTCATGATATTGATTCTTCCTACACATGAGCATGGAATGTTCTTCCATTTGTTTGTGTCCTCTTTTATTTCATTGAGCAGTGGTTTGTAGTTCTCCTTGAAGAGGTCCTTCACATCCCTTGTAAGTTGGATTCCCAGGTATTTTATTCTCTTTGAAGCAATTGTGAATGGGAGTTCACTCATGATTTGGCTCTCTGTTTGTCTGTTATTGGTGTATAAGAATGCTTGTGATTTTTGCACATTGATTTTGTATCCTGAGACTTTGCTGAAGTTGCTTATCAGCTTGAGGAGATTTTGGGCTGAGACGATGGGGTTTTCTAGATATACAATCATGTCATCTGCAAACAGGGACAATTTGACTTCCTCTTTTCCTAATTGAATACCCTTTATTTCCTTCTCCTGCCTGATTGCCCTGGCCAGAACTTCCAACACTATGTTGAATAGGAGTGGTGAGAGAAGGCATCCCTGTGTTGTGCCAGTTTTGAAAGGGAATGCTTCCAGTTTTTGCCCATTCAGTGTGATATTGGCTGTGGGTTTGTCATAGATAGCTCTCATTATTTTGAGATACGTCCCATCAATACCTAGTTTATTGAGAGTGTTTAGCATGAAGCGTTGTTGAATTTTGTCAAAGGCCTTTTCTGCATCTATTGAGATAATCATGTGGTTTTTGTCTTTGGTTCTGTTTATATGCTGGATTACATTTATTGATTTGCGTATGTTTAACCAGCCTTGCATCCCAGGGATGAAGCCCACTTGATCATGGTGGATAAGCTTTTTGATGTGCTGCTGGATTTGGTTTGCCAGTATTTTATTGAGGATTTTTGCATCGATGTTCATCAAGGATATTGGTCTAAAATTCTCTTTTTTGGTTGTGTTTCTGCCAGGCTTTGGTATCAGGATGATGCTGGCCTCATAAAATGAGTTGGGGAGGATTCCCTCTTTTTCTATTGATTGGAATAGTTTCAGAAGGAATGGTACCAGCTCCTCTTTGTACCTCAGGTAGAATTCGGCTGTGAATCCATCTGGTCCTGGACTTTTTTTGGTTGGTTAGCTATTGATTATTGCCTCAATTTCAGAGCCGGTTATTGGTCTATTCAGAGATTCAACTTCTTCCTGGTTTAGTCTTGGGAGGATGTATGTGTCGAGGAATTTATCCATTTCTTCTAGATTTTCTAGTTTATTTGCGTAGAGGTGTTTATAGTATTCTCTGATGGTAGTTTGTATTTCTGTGGGATCAGTGGTGATATCCCCTTTATCATTTTTTATTGCATCTGTTTGATTCTTCTCTTTTTTCTTCTTTATTAGTCTTGCTAGCGATCTATCAATTTTGTTGATCTTTTCAAAAAACCAGCTTCTGGATTCGTTGATTTTTTGAAGGGTTTTTTGTGTCTCTATTTCCTTCAGTTCTGCTCTGATCTTAGTTATTTCTTGCCTTCTGCTAGCGTTTGAATGTGTTTGCTCTTGCTTTTCTAGTTCTTTTAATGGTGATGTTAGGGTGTCTATTTTAGATCTTTCCTGCTTTCTCCTGTGGGCATTTAGTGCTATAAATTTCCCTCTACACACTGCTTTGAATGTGTCCCAGAGATTCTGGTATGTTGTGTCTTTGTTCTCATTGGTTTCAAAGAACATCCTTATTTCTGTCTTCATTTCATTATATACCCAGTAGTCATTCAGGAGCAGGTTGTTCAGTTTCCATGTAGTTGAGCGGTTTTGAGTGAGTTTCTTAATCCTGAGTTCTAGTTTGAGTGCACTGTGGTGCCCAGCTAATTTTTTTGTATTTTTAGTAGAGACAGCATTTCCCCATGTTGTCCAGGATGGTCTCGATCTCTTGACCTCGTGACCCACCTGCCTTGGTCTCCCAAAATGCTGGGATTACAGGCATGAGCCAATGCACCTAGCTGGAAGAAACCTATTTGAATGCCAGTTTTATGCCAGACAGAGTGTTAGGAACTTTTATATACATTATCTTATTTATCACCAAGGTGTTTTTTCCCTTGCCCCAGCAGATTGTTTTTACCAAAAATTCAGCTAAACCAAAAAAGGAATTGTAACTTGGCTTGCTGGAAATCCCTAAGGGCACCAGTTGCTGCTGGAGGGTATTGATAAACATGGGCCATGACAGAAGTCCTTCTTTGTGGTCTCATCAGTAAATCAGCATCTTTGGGAAAAAATTATTAGTTGATATATTGACAGTAAGCCATACCAACTCCTAAGCCCTTCTTACTCAGAGTCAATTGCTATTCACCTGGACAAGGCAGCTGACTGTTTCTGAAGCAGAGTTGTATGTGAGGTACAGATAAAGACAAGTCATCTTCTTAGTCTATCTGTGCTCTAAGAGTAGATGAACTAGATGACGCTGATAGCTGTGTTTCTACAACAAAATGTTATTACAAATAACAAACAGTTGCCCTCAACCTCTGACAGTAAATGAACATTAATGCTGTGCTCCTTTCTACACAAACATGCATTAAATGGACATGATCCTGTGACCTCTGGTAAATACTGTGTGCCATTTGGTTGTTTTTAATTAGCCTTGACCTCCCTGCCTCAATGTCCACTTAGGGCAGTTTAGCCCTAGTATGTCAGGTGTTGAGAGATTTGATTTCAAAGAGAGAAGAATTCCAACCCAAAACCCTAGTGATAACTGATACCAGAGTAGTGTTACAGCATAGAAAGATCAGCATTCAGCCAGAATGGGAGAGTGCAAACATTTGTCAAATAGCCTGCTTCTTCCACCTTCTGAAGAGCTAAGCATATTAGTGGTTAGTTTCTTAATAAATTATACAATAGGATATTCCAGGGGGGCTATTTTCTGGGTGATTGCTCAGCATATAGAGCACCAATCACTGTTAGTATCATTAATGGTTTATCAGAATGGTCCAGTGGTCTAGAAGCGCCACTCCCATATTTCTTGGAAGCACATTAACTCAACCTAAGCAGCAGAGCTATGCACTAGTTGATCCAATGCAATATCATTCCTTTTTCTTGCTTCCGCTAAGAGAGCTTTCTCTACCTTCTGCAGGTCTTGTAATGGATCCGTATTAGATGACTTTGAATGATTTGCGGGCACATTCCTTATTTCTTTCACCAAGGACATTTTAGAGGAAAGACTACTTTCTCTGTAACTTTGGCTTATTGGCTTGTTAATATATGTAGTGAATGAGGAAATGTGGGTGGTGGGGCATCCATCTCCCAGATGGGAAACAAAGCCTTCTTAGAGTTCTTGTGGCAAACTGTCTCACAGATGTATGCTGTTATTCACAAGATGGGACAGAGAAGATGGTACTGGTTGCTCAGTGCAAATTAACTTCCATCACTGAAAAAAAACAACTTTAGCTATAGGGTTTGTTATAGAAGGCCAGTAATGCCAGTGGTAAAAAGGACTGCATGTGGGTAAGATGCTAGAGACCACTCTTGCACTAATGATCTAGAATGTGGGTCTATTAGGGTTGTCAACCTCATCATCACTGAGGGGATTTTCAGCCTGCTTTCCTTAAAACTCAGCTGTTTTATCACCTGAAATCTGAAAATAGTAACACCACACACGGGTATGAGTAATAAATGTTATGCCATGATTAAAGGATCTAACCCTGTGCCCCACACTTAGTAACCAGTCAGTAGATGTCAGTTGAATTTAAATTCCGCTAACATGCCCGGCTTACTAAATCATTGTACCTTTGACTAGCATATAATGGTTATTTTTTTATCTAGTCCATTTGTTAGCACAGTCTCTCACCATCTGTGTTCCCTGTCTATCTGCCAACCTAGAAAAACCCTCTTCGTGTCTCTAAATAAAGAGTTTGATTTTTTAAGATAACACTTGTTATATTTGGGGTTTTATTACTCTATGCTGCAGAGTATTCTTATTTCAAAGGAATAATTTCATGTCTTATTAAAATAACTAAGACCTTATGTGATTGTGGGTGAGCTTCCATGACCATGGTAGGGGAGGTAAGCAACATGTTCTTGTGCCCTGGTGCTATTTTTGGCTAGCAGAGCAAATGGAAAATCCAGAGCTGGTGGGGACAAAGCCAAATTTGCAAGTACATCAGATTCACTGAGTAGGTGTGTGTTGGGTCAGTGTTTATCACCTACAGTAAGTGGAATGAGAGCACTCAATGGGTATTCATTTGGGGAAATTTTGTTGAAGAAGGAGCTCATGTTATAGCCGCTTAAAAACCTGCTTGTCAGAAGTTTTCAGGATTCTCTCACACTGTGTCATCCCACATATATTTCTTTATCCCCTCCAGAGTGTGCATGGGATTGAAAGACAACACCAAGTCTCTGTCCCTGGTCCCCTACTGCTTTAGTCCAGTAGTATTAACAATTCATTAGGATCATACTTTATTAGGGTTCATTGGTCCTTAGAAAAGAAGACAGATCCTATGTATATACACAGGGGAAAAACCTACTAGTGAGCAGTTTTCCCCATGTTAAAATAAGAGATTATAGAAGACTTGGGGTATAATAATAGCAGTGATTATTCCCATATAGATTCAAGATTTTGGATCTGCATGGGCCTGTTACTTTTTCCCATGTCCCAAGTCCTATAAAGTTATCACCATGGGTGGCTGAGAGAAACATGTCAATTTCTTAAGTAGTTTTAAGAATATCTACATTTAATCTAGCTATATAGGAGTAGAAGTTATCATTTCGCAATTAATTATTTTTCCCAGCCTGAATCATATTCTAAAATTCAGCATTTGCTGTGCAGGGAGTAAAATAAACTTCCCATTCTCTGATGGTTTTCTTGAAAATGTAGAGGATCCCAGAAACTCATGGCTAGAAGGAACTAGTTGATAGCTTACAGTTCACTGGATCTTACAGGGGGCCTTGAAGGCTGGCCTTTTATGGTATTAATAGGATATTGAACTACCTTGGCTTCCTTTTAGAAGAAGACAAGTATAAACGACAAAACATGGAACTGAGATGAGAGTATCCACTTTGGAAGAGGAAGAGGCATAAACTAGTGATTCCCTTAAATAGTTAAAGGGTATTTAACAGGAAGCAGCTTCATTTGTTGTCCATTACTGACTGACCATTTTTGGGGTCCAGGTTTTGAGTTGTTTTTTTAAGTATGAGGAACAGGTTTTTGCAGAGGCTACCGCTCTGTTTTGCCCCATCTCTGTCCTGTCTACTGGCCCACATTTGTGGGACAGCTGGCCTGGTGTCTGTCTGTGAGGAGAAAAGCAACAGGTCCATACAAGATTCAAATCCACAAGTTTGACCTTGTTAGTGAAGTCTGATCACCAACAGTGTAAACTATACCATCATTCCTCCTGATAGTTTTGGTGAGCTTGTGATTTGTTTGAGTTTTGTTATTTTAACGGTAGCAGGGAAGCAATGGTAGCTTGGGTGACTTGAGGGGCTTTTTTGAGTCTGAAATGATAACTTCCACAGAAAGCTGAAAACTGCTAATGCAGGCTATCCCTTGAAAACAAATTTAGCTTCCCTTAAACATCTCTAGAGAAGACTCCAAGCTTGCTTTTGCAACCCCGCTTTGCAGAATGCTCGAAGTGTGTTCTTCCAAGTATTTAATTCCAGGTCCACCTGGTGGGATGTTATTATTTCCATTTTGCCCTCTCCTGATGGGATCCAGAGGAGAGGCTTGACACTGTTCACACAGGTTCCCTTCACCAAATGCCCCCCTCCTGCCTGCCGCAGGCATGTATGCAAATAACTGTTGCGAAGCAGCCCCAGTCAGTTGTTCCTCATGGTTTCTTTCCTTGGCTTTTTTCTTTCTTTTGCCTCATGATATATTTTCTTTTCTTGGCCCTTCATTTAGCCACCTCAAAGACTGAAAGCAATCAGGAGAACAACTGCTGGTTTTGTTTTTTTTCGTTTTATTTTTTTGTTTTGTTTTGTTTTAGATCTAGCATGTTAAAAAAACAAAAACACCCAAAAGGCAACAACAACAGCAACAAACAAAACAGCTCCAGAGTTATTATCTGAGGTGTGTACGTTGCCTTTACCAAAAGAAAAATGCCCTAATGCAGTTAATGCTGTGGTTGAGAGACATTTTGTCTTTGACCTCTGTTGTCATAGACTGAGAAAATTAAATACATGATCAGGTATTTCCTGGAGAAACATTTCAGAAAACATCAGGACTGTCTCTCTCTGTCTGTCTCTGTCTGTCTCTGTCTCTCACTCTCTCACTCTCACTCAGCATTGGGTAACTTGCTTATTGGTCCTGGGCCATTCCTTTGTTCCAGATAGATCTCGCTTTAGACAGACCGTCAGGTGATTCTTCATTTGTCCTAGAGAAGATAGAATCCAACTTAAGAATGCTAAGGCAACTTTTCCCAATATGAATACAAATTGTTTTTTCTTTAAAAGTCTATCTTTTGAGTTTTAAAAGATACACAGAATACTTGTAAATGAAATCGAGTAGAGTATCACTTTAAAAACTAGAGTCACATTTGATATAAAGTTCTTCTGTCCTGTAGCCCTCAGGGAACTTTCCCTAGTATAATCTCAAAAAGGCTATTCTATTTTTAAGAAAATAGACATTTATATGGCAATTTACAAAGCATTTTTTGAAATAATTTCCAACTTTTAAGTTCAGGGGTACACGTGTAGGATGTGTGGGTTTGTTACACAGGCACATGTGTGCCATGGTGGTATACTGCACAGATCATCCCATCACCCAGGTATTAAGCCCAGCATCCATTAGCTAGTCTTCCTGATTCTCTCCCTCTTCCCACCCCTCACCTTCCAACAGGCCCCAGTATTTGTTGTTCCCCAGCGTTTGTTGTTCCCCAGCGTGTGTCCATGTGTTCTCATCATTTCACTCCCACTTATAAGTGAGAACATGTAGTATTTGGTTTTCTGTTCCTGTGTTAGTTTGCTAAAGATAATGACTTCCAGCTCCATCCATGTCCCTGCAAAGGACACTATCTCATTCCTTTTAACGGCTGCATAGTATTCCATGGTGTATATGTACCACATTTTCTTTATCCAGTCTGTCACTGATGGACATTCAGGTTGATTCCATGTCTTTGCTGTTGTGAATGCTGCTGCAATGAACATATGCGTGCATGTGACTTTATAATAAAATGACTTATATTCCTTTGGGTATATACTTGGTAATGGAATTACTGGATCAAATGGTATTTCTGCCTCTAGGTCTTTGAGGAATCTCCACACTGTCTTCCACAATGGTTGAACTAATTTACACTCCCACCAGCAATGTAAAAGCGTTCCTTTTTCTCTGCAACCCTGCCAGCATCTGTTGTTGTTTGACTTTTTAGTGGCCATTCTGACTGGTGTGAGATGGTATCTCATTGTGGTTTTGATTTGCATTTCTCTAATGATTAGTGATGTTGAGCTTTTTTCATATGTTTTTTGGCCACATGAATGTCTTCTTTTGAGAAGTGTCTGTTCATGTCTTTTGCCCACTTTTTAATGGGGTTGTTTTTCTCTTGTAAATCTGTTTAAGTTTCTTATAGATGCTGGATATTAGACCTTTGTCAGATGGATATATTGCAAAAATGTTCTCCCATTCTATAGGTTGTGTTTACTCTGTTGATAGTTTCTTTTGCTGTGCAGAAGCTCTTTAGTTTAATTAGACCCCATTTGTCAACTTTTGCTTTTGTTGCAGTTGCTTTTGGTATCTTCATCATGAAATCTTTGCCCATGCCTATGTCCTGAATGGTATTGCCTAGGTTTTCTTCTAGGCTTTTTATAGTTTTGGGTTTTATATTTAAGTTTTTAATCCATCTTTAGTTGATTTTTATATAAGGCGTAAGGAAGGGGTTTTATATTTGGGTTTTATATTTAAGTTTTTAATCCATCTTTAGTTGATTTTTATGTAAGGTGTAAGGAAGGGGTCCAGTTTTAATTTTCTGCATATGCCTAGCCAGTTCTCCCAGCACCATTTATTAAATAGGGAATACTTTCCCCATTGCTTGTTTTTTGTCAGGTTTGTCCAAGATCAGATGGTTGTAGCTGTGTGGTCCTGTTTCTGGGTTCTCTATTCTATTCTACTGGTCTATGTGTCTGTTCTTGTACCTCTACCAAGCTGTTTTGGTTACTGTAGCCCTGTAGTATAGTTTGAAGTTAGGTACGGTGATATTTCCAGCTTTGTCCTTTTTGCTTAGCATTTTCTTGGCTATTTGGGCTCTTTTTTGATTCCATGTGAATTTTAAAATAGTTGTTTCTAATTTTGTGAAGAATTTCAGTGGTAGTTGAACAGGAATAGCATTGAATCTATAAATTGTACAAAGCATTTTCATAAAATAACAACAATGATACCTAGCATTTATTAGTTGCAGTGTGGCAGACACTTTTCTGAATGCTTTCAAGGTGATAGTTCATTTAACCCTCTAAATAACTCTATCAGATAGGTACTGTTATTATCCCCATTTTCATGTGGACACTGAGGCATCTAGGTGCTAAGTGACTTGCCCTAAATCGTATAGCCTATAATTGCCTAGATGAAGGATTGAGTTCTAGGGATGGCCGATTCCAAGGTTCTTGTACTTCCTACTACTTTGTGTGGTCTGTTAATCATTGTTGTCATGTAAGAATCCTGAGTTTCAGAGTAATGAAGTGACTTGATTCTAGTTTCCAAGCCAGAAATGACAGAAAAAGTTTTAACATTTTTCCCCTTTACGTTTATGGATTTTCTCTCTTTGTCATGGATCTTCAGGTCGCTATTTTATTGAACTCATTTGCTGAGTCCCTATTATGTGCCAGGTACTGCACTAATCGTTGGTGATAACAAAGATAATGAACGTTCTGCCCTTAAGGAATTCACAATCTGAGTTTGGGGAGTTAATACAGATAAAAATATCATGACAGATGCAAGCAAAGTGCCAAATACTACAATAGAGCTAAGCACAGGGAGCTCTGGGAACACAGGGGAAGGGTGGCTAGCCCAGCCCAGATGCTGTCGAGAAAAGCTTTTTAGAGGAGCTGTGTCTCCAGGAATGAAGGGAGTTAGCCAGACTGCAGACTGAGAATAGGAAGATGTTCTGGACAGAAGAAACACCTTGTGCAAAGGCCCAGATATACTTGAGAGCATGGAGCCTTTGAGGAAGGCCCCATATTCTTTAGAAATGAAGCCAGAGTTGTGGGCAAGATTCAGATCATGAAGAACATCGTAAGTCATGGTAAGCACTGCTGACTTCTGCGTTTGGTTGGGAGCCACTGAAGGATTTTAAGCAGATGTTGTACAGAATGGGCTAGAATAGATGAAGTAAGCAGGGAGACACATTTAGAGGGTGTTAGAATTGTCTAGAAAAGAAATGAGGGTCCTAATCTGAAGCAGTGGTTCCAGCTTTTCCTGCTTCTCCAGGATATGCATAATTGATTTATTTATTGGTTCAGCGGCCAGTACCTCTGCCTACCATCCATGCCACTGCTGAACATTTGCTCCCTCATCTTTATAGTGTTTGCTTTTCTTTGTCTTTCTATACAATTCATGTACCTCTCTCTCCTATGAGACCCCAGCTCCATGAGGAGAGACGCCATATATTTTTTATCTTGGTATTCACTGCGGAAGTGCTGTGACTTATACATGGTTTTCATGTTCCTGATGGGGATAGTCTCTGTTTAGCATGGCTGTAGTCTAGACCTCTTTTTTTGGAAAGTGCTAGAAAGTGGACAGGGAAGATGAGGGAGCAGAATCATTTTGCTCTATAGTAAATTGAGGGGCATTAACAGATGAGAAGTTTGTATGACTCCACTTGGACTCTGCCAAAGTGCATCAGCATTCTTCTGAGACTTAAGGTAATTTCCTGGCAGGCTTAATGATTACTTTCAATAATGTTATACAACTTCTGTGCAATCTCTTAAATTAGATTTCAGCACAAATAATTAGAGGTAGGAATAGCACTTTCCAGTTCTATTACCTATATGCCTAAGTACAAAGCTACCCTCTTCACTGTCATTGAAACCCTGCTCTCTTCCTCATAAATTCTGTAGGGGATGGCCATTTAGCTCAGAGGCTTTCAAAATGTATTTATCTTATTAAACAAAAGGTTACATGAAGCCCAATATAGAAATTTTTTTTTTTTTTTTTTTTTTGAGACGGAGACTCGCTCTGCTGCTTAGGCTGGAGTGCAGTGGTGCAATCTTGGCTCACTGCAACCTCCGCCTCCCAGGTTCAGCCTCCCTAGTAGCTGGGACTACAGGGGTGCACCACCACACCCACCTAATTTTTGTATTTTTAGTAGAGATGGGGTTTCACTATGTTGGCCATGCTGGTCTCAAACACCTGATCTCAGGTGATCTGCCTACCTTGGTCTCCCAAAGTCCTGGGATTACAAGCTTGAGCCACCATGCCAGGCCTAGAAATCAAGTTTTATAAGGAGTTGTTCTCATTGAGGCCAGAAACCAGTTGGGAACTGAAGCCCTGTTCAATTGTCCTCTTCTCCATCCTATCCCTACCTCTAAATAAATTAGGAATAATGAACCAATTAAGATCATCAGTATTTCCCCCTAACTCTTCACTTTGATCCAATTTCTCTGAAGTGTCTAACTATATTACATGTAGGTTTTCACAGGCACTTAGTGGTTCTGTTGGTATGGTCTAAATTACTCCACCACTCTGGGCTTCCTCTGCTGCCTCCCTCCCTCTCTCCCACATTCTGGGATAACATTCTCTAGGACTGCCTGGAAGACATTCTTGCACCTAGTGGTAGAGGCTCGCAAAGATTCTAAATCAGAAATAATCATAATTTAGATAAAATATTTTCTTGAAACGATAAGTGTTAAGAAGGTAATGTTTCCCTTGAATCCATATAGGTTAGTGT
This sequence comes from Homo sapiens, assembly GCF_000001405.40. NCBI lineage: Eukaryota > Metazoa > Chordata > Mammalia > Primates > Hominidae > Homo > Homo sapiens. Next base: position 210,835,383 of record NC_000001.11, on the reverse strand, counting down.
TCTGGTTAAAATTTAATTAGAGCTCATGGAATTCTGGCACACATGAACATATTTAATGGCCTTTATACTTTTTGTGTTAAAATTAATACTTGGTCTCACAAAATAAGAGACTGAACTCTGTGGCTAAAGATTTTCCAAGATGACTAAGAGGCTTAGTGAGATCAAAGAGACCTTACCTTGTTTGTGCCTACCTGTGAGCATGTAGCCATTTATTTTTATTGAACATACACAGAAAGGATTTGCATACATTAAGTTTGGTAAAGAATTACTTATTAGAAGAAACAAAAGGCATTCTATGAGTTTTTAGGCACTCAACTGAAGATCATCAGTCCAGTTCTCTCCTATCTTCAGAAGGCTTTATGACTCGCATACAGAAGCTCAACAAAGTGGGGGCAGGGAGGGTGTCTCTGTCAGCCATACAAGGTAGCTGTCTTAGCTATAGTTTACTATAGCAAACAATAGAAATTTATTTCTCACAGCTCTGGAAGCTGGGGAGTACAAGATCTAGGCACCATCAGAATCTGCATTTGGTGAAGGCCTACTTCCTGGCTCATAGACACCATCTTTTTTCTGTGTCCTCCCATGCTACTTCCATTGGTAAGGGCTCTGCACTCATGGCCTAATCACCTACCAAAGGCCCTACCTCTTAATACCATCACACATCACAGTGGGGATTAGGAGTTCTTTTTTTTTTTTTTAATTATACTTTAAGTTTTAGGGTACATGTGCACAATGTGCAGGTTAGTTACATATGTATACATGTGACATGCTGGTGCACTTCACCCACTAACTCGTCATCTAGCATTAGGTATATCTCCCAATGCTATCCCTCCCCCCTCCCCCCACCCCACAACAGTCCCCAGAGTTTGATGTTCCCCTTCCTGTGTCCATGTGTTCTCATTGTTCAATTCCCACCTATGAGTGAGAATATGCGGTGTTTGGTTTTTTGTTCTTGCGATAGTTTACTGAGAATGATGATTTCCAATTTCATCCATGTCCCTACAAAGGACATGAACTCATCCTTTTTATGGCTGCATAGTATTCCATGGTGTATATGTGCCACATTTTCTTAATCCAGTCTATCATTGTTGGACATTTGGATTGGTTCCAAGTCTTTGCTATTGTGAATAGTGCCACAATAAACATACGTGTGCATGTGTCTTTATAGCAGCATGATTTATAGTCCTTTGGGTATATACCCAGTAATGGGATGACTGGGTCAAATGGTATTTCTAGTTCCAGATCCCTGAGGAATCGCCACACTGACTTCCACAATGGTTGAACTAGTTTACAGTCCCACCAACAGTGTAAAAGTGTTCCTATTTCTCCACATCCTGTCCAGCAGCTGTTGTTTCCTGACTTTTTAATGATTGCCATTCTAACTGGTGTGAGATGCTATCTCATTGTGGTTTTGACTTGCATTTCTCTGATGGCCAGTGATGGTGAGCATTTTTTCATGTGTTTTTTGTCTGCATAAATGTCTTCTTTTGAGAAGTGTCTGTTCATGTCCTTCACCCACTTTTTGATGGGGTTGTTTGTTTTTTTCTTGTAAATTTGTGTGAGTTCATTGTAGATTCTGGATATTAGCCCTTTGTCAGATGAGTAGGTTGTGAAAATTTTCTCCCATTTTGTGGGTTGCCTGTTCACTCTAATGGTAGTTTCTTTTGCTGTGCAGAAGCTCTTTAGTTTAATTAGATCCCATTTGTCAATTTTGGCTTTTGTTGCCATTGCTTTTGGTGTTTTAGACATGAAGTCCTTGCCCGTGCCTATGTCCTGAATGGTAATGCCTAGGTTTTCTTCTAGGGTTTTTATGGTTTTAGGTCTAACGTTTAAGTCTTTAATCCATCTTGAATTGATTTTTGTGTAAGGTGTAAGGAAGGAATCCGGTTTCAGCTTTCTACATATGGCTAGCCAGTTTTCCCAGCACCATTTATTAAATAGGGAATCCTTTCCCCATTGCTTGTTTTTCTCAGGTTTGTCAAAGATCAGATAGTGGTAGATATGTGGCATTATTTCTGAGGCCTCTGTTCTGTTCCATTGATCCATATCTCTGTTTTGATACCAGTACCATGCTGTATGAATTTTCAAGGGACACAAACTTTTAGTCTATAGCAGTGGCTTTGTAATGAATTCTTAGCATTTGAATAATTCTCAGGTTGTGTGCCCTACTTTAAGAAACCTGATTTATAAATATATCATATTTAGTAATTCTGAGATCTGTTAGTGGTGATTATTCACTTTGCAAAACTCTTTACAGGTAAGTGCATTTACTCAAATTCTTGAAAATAGCCTTCTCTTAATTCTTCCCAGGGACTGTTTACAGATTATTAATGATCTGGTGTGAGGAGAAGAAAAACTTAAAGCTAAATGTTTAGGGATCTGCTGGCTCTTTGAAGAACAATCAGCAATAGTGATAAAGCATCTCTAACGTTATTTAACTTCCTCAAATTCAATTTATATGTATATATATATATATGTATTTGAGAAATGCAACACCTGTTTAATGACTTGTCTAGATGAGTACAGCCATTGTAATTTGCTGATATATGATTAATTGTATAATATATAAGACATTTCAGTGCATAGACTATCTGCGGTCTTCTCTGAGGTGGCTTCTAGTACACTTCTAGTGGGTGAAAAAAACGGGTCCTGCTCTGTCAAGTATAAAGAATTTAACTTTCTCTGACTTTGATTGATGTCATTTGTGATCTCTGAAAGAAGGTGTTTACCTAGAAGTTTTATTCTCCTGCAGAGAACATTGACTTTTTTTTGAGGTTACCTTTTGTTATCTGTTCCCTGATGGAGACCAAATAATCCTGGTTATCTTTTAAAATATTTGTGTTTAGTTTTAAAAATGAATTTATATACAGCGTTAATGTAGGAATAACTGATATTCTGGAGAGGCATAAATCCTCAAAGCCAACAAAACAAATCAGAACAGAGCAGTTTTAAAAAGTAGATCTGAAAAGACTCTGGAGAATTGGGAAAATAGGCTTATCAAGTTATACCAGAATATCTGCAATATTAACATAAGCTGCAAATATTCCTTGAGTGCCCAGTATATGCCACTTACTGGCTAGGTTAGGTCTAAGAAGAGGACTCTCAAACATCTAAGCAGGCTCAGATAAGAGAGTATAGCCTTTTTGGTCAGACCTTACCAGGAGTTCTCTGTTTTAGTACATTATAGGAATTTGGCAAATTGGGACATATTCAGAGAGGAACTGATTGCATGGAGAAGATTCTAGAAGACTTTCTTTTTTTTGAGAAACTATTTAAAAGCAAGGGCTGTTTATCTGAAAAAGGGAAGATTTTTGGCAAACAGGTCATGAGAAATGTCCCTAAATCTGAACCATTCAATATAATAGCCACTAACCACACGTAACTATTTAAATTGAAATTAAAGTTAAATAAAAAAAATTGTTCCTCAGTTGTACCAGCACATTTCAAGGACTCAAGAGCCATGTGTTGCTAGTGGTTACCATACTGGACAGCACATAGATACAGTACATCTCAATCATCACAGAAAGTTCTATTAAGCAGCATTACTCTAAGTACTTGAAGAATTTCATGAAGAGAAAAAACAGACTCATCCTGTGTATCTCCAGAAGGTGCAGTTATGTTCAGTGGAGAAGACCTAGAGGGGAAATGTTTCCAACACCTGAGCTGGTCAGTAACAGAGGAAGCAGAGTTAGAAGGCTGTCTAAGAGGGGAAATATTTACTCTTGGTTACCCTATTAGGAATGCTGTAGGAGGAAGTATGAGGAGATGATTTCTGCAGCTATTAGACCTCATGAGTGTGCCCCATGTCAAGTGCTATGCCATGGCCCAGATGGCCTACTGAGGCATCTATTCATAGCTATTTGCAACTTCCTCCATTGTTTGGTGATAGGAAGTAGCTGGTGACCTGGCAGAGGCTAATCTCAGCTCCCTTTCTCAGTCTATCTTAATCTGATTTGAACCCTCCTTGGGAAGGATGGTAATTTACAAAACTCATTAAAAGCTTTCAATGAAATTATGCCTAGTAAAAGAATTTATTTCTGGAAGCCTAAAAATGGGAATATATTTTCTGAATATAAACTTGGATGGATGATTGATGAGGATAATTAAAAGGCTTTGTATTTTAACCCCTATTTAGGCTTTGAGTTAGCCAAGATAACTTGAACTTAAACAGAATAAAGCATCAGTTAGAAGTTGGCAACAGTATTTTCCTTGGATAAGCCACAAAGCAAGTAATTGGCCTATATGTTTGGAGAAGTCTGTGTTTGCAGGTGTCTTTATGACAAAATCACGCTTTCTCAAATGCTTGGTCAGACTTAGAATTGAGGGACCATAATCAGTAGGTATTTTTAAAGCTCTGTAGCAGTTTTTAATGACAGTGTGCCTGAAAACTCAAATAATTATCTCTGGAAATCTAAAACCAGTGCTGGTTACCTAAATACATTCCTTAATTGAAGCTTAATGGTGTTGCCCTGTATAAGAACCTCAACTCTGGCCAAGCTGGGGCAGTTTTATTGGTCTTTTAGAGTTTTTAAATGGCACTCTCAAACCTCCTGGGAGTACCAGAGGAGAAAAATGACATAAATTAAATGCGTTAGGATTGTGTCCCTCCAAGAGGTGAAGACAGAGAAAAATTTGTAGTTCTTTGGAGTCACTGGAGATAGATTATGGTCCGAATGACTCAGTTTTGTTGGATTGACCTCATCATTTTTCATACCCTCCATAGGAAGTCATTGTCTACTTAAAATTTTTCTTTTGCCTTTGCTGTTTATTTTCAAATATTTTTTAATTGCTCCTTTGGATGGAGCAGCTGGTTTCTTTTCTTCTTCCTCTCCTTTCTCCTTATTTGACACAGAATCTGGTTTATTCTGTGTGATTGATGGAGCAAATTATGCTCCAGGGAAGTGTCTTATTGAGGTCTTCCAACCCCCACCCTGTGCTTGCTGGTCAGGTGTCAGCTCTACCCTGACCCTCAGGGGAAATGGCCTGCAAGGCAAACACAGACGCTTTTATTTGCCAGAGCTGGGCTTCTTTAGGAAGGCATCCTTGGTTTGATATGGCTTCACTGAGGAAGGAGCTCTTGACTATGCCTGCATATGGTGAAGGGAAGCTTCTCATGGGAGGTGATGCTTGAACGAAGTTAACGGATGAGTAGGAGTTTGTAGGCAGATGACGGGGAAGGCATTTCAGGGAGAGGGAGTGGCCCATGCAAAGACAGAGAGACAACAAAGCTTGAGATGGTTAAGGGAAACTTAAGGATAGTTCTGTGAGAGGAACTAGTAGGGGAATCATTTCTTTATTAATAAATATTTATTAAGCACTCTTGAGGTGGTAGGCAGTAGTCTAAGCACCAGATTTACATTAGTGAATATAACAAAGGTACTTTCCCTTGTGGAACATATACTCAAGTGGAGGGAATCAGAAGATAAGACACATAATAAAAGTTGTATTAGTTATTTCTAAAGTGCTTAGAACAATTCTTCCCACATTCTAAGGGCTATGTGACTGATTAATAAACTGAATAATTTTATGATTCGTTAGAAGGTAATAAATGCTATGGGGAGTTGGGGATCATAGAGCTTGGTAAAGGAAATTGCAAGTGCCAGAGGGGGCGTTGAAAGTGAAATATAATGTTACACCTCTTTGAGAAGCCTTTTAAAAAAATTCAGTTGAGCCAAGACTTAAAAGAGATGTAGTTAGCAGTACAGTTATTTGGGGGAAGAGTCTTCCTGTACAGGTAGCCGCCAGTGCAAAGGCCCTAAAAGCAGGATGATGTCTTTAGGTAACAGCAAGGATGCTAGGGTGGAAGGATGGTCTTAGAGAGATAGCAGGGGACAGGTCAGAGGGAATTCTGGATCATGACTTTGGCTTTCATTCTGAGTGACATGGGGAGTCGAGGGGACATGATTTGACTTAGGTTTTAAGGAGTCACTGGCTGCTCTGTTGATAATAGACTCTGTAGGGGGGCACATGAAAAGGCAGCCAGCCTGGCCGCAATACAGAGTACCAATCTGTAAAGGACCCTAAAAATAGCGCTGGGAATGTAATAAACAAGACATTGTTGGTACTAGAACTTACCATAGGGAAAGCACTGTACACAGGGAGGGAAAGAGCCCAGGGATGTTTAGTTGGTTAACAAATATATCTATTGAATGCCTTCTTAGAAGGATAAGCTAGTCAGCAAAAGGGATAGACATTTTGTTTTGCTGAGTCAGAACTCCAGTTTCCTTCTTAGACCAGAGTTCTTGTTGAATCAGATCACTTGGAGTGCCCCGTGTGTCAGTCCCACTGCCCTCAGGAGAGATGCAGGGGCCAGATCCTGAATAACATTGAATACTCTACACAACATACTTGAAAACATAAGCTATGCACACCTCCATGATGGCCTTCCTTTCCTGCCTTCTCAACTTGTGGGAGAATCTTCTAATCTGTTAGCCTGGAAGCGGTCTTATGCTATACTTCAGTAATAATGATTTTTGTTCATTGTTATTCAGGAAGTCATTGCAAATTATTTCTGAAAGGACCTGCTTTTGAACAGTGATGTTTAGCTGGGGATGGCTCAGAGCATTAGCTGCTGCTGTCCTAAAAGATGTGGACTCTACCTAAGAGTGGAGCCCCAGGGATCTTTTCCATACAGGAGTAGCACCCCAAAACACATTTTTAGAAAGGACAACCTAGTCATCAACAACTTACTTTAACTCAACTTTGTTGAGTGCCTACTACATGGCAGGTACCAAGAGCAAGAATTATGGCTTTTTGTCCTTGGCTCACTCATTCCTGGGCTGTGTGGTCTGTCAGGGCTTGTACAGTAAATAAGGATTTAGCAAAAGAGGAAAAATTACCTGGAGCTTGTAATCTGCTGCGGTGGGGATGGGGTGGAATGGGTGGATGGTTAGAGACCCTGACAATGATAGCGTGTCTAATAAGTGTTCTGAGGTCTAGATGTTACTATGGGAACGTTCAGGAGTCAGTCCTTATCAATGCCCAATTTGTCATTTTTGTTTTATTATGTTACATTCTTTGCTTATTTATCCTTTTATTACACTGTGAGTTCCTATGTCTGTTATTTTTTAAATATTGTGGTACATGTTAGTGGGAGCTTAGTAAAGGACCCTTGATAAAGTAGTGTAGCTACTATCATTTATTGAGTTCCTCCCATCGTCATGAACATTTCCTCAATTAATCTTCCAATAACCCATTGAGACAGGTGTTACTTATCTCCATTTTATATATAAGAAAACTGAGGCCGGGTGCGGTGGCTCATGCCTGTAATCCTAGCACTTTGGGAGGCTGAGAAGAGTGGATCACCTGAGGTCAGGAGTTCAAGACCAGCCTGGCCAACATGGTGAAACCGCATCTCTAATAAAAATACAAAAATTAGCCAGGTGGTGCACACCTGTAATCACAGCTACTCAGGAGGCTGAGACATGAGAATGACTCCACCAACCTTACTGGGAGGTGAAGGTTGCCATCGGCCGAGATCACGCCAGTGCACTCTAGCCTGGGTGAGAGTGACTTTGTCTCCAAAAAACAAACAAACAAACAGAAAACAAGAGAGAACTGAGGCACAGAAGGGCAATTTTGCCTAAAATAAGAAGCCAAGGCAATGACTATTGGAGCTGGTTTGTGAATCAGAACCCTCTGACCCCAAAGCTATGCTCCTAACTACCATTATGTTCTGGATTGGCCCCCTTGTGGTATTAACATAAGGAGATGATGTAATATGTCCTAGTCTTCAGTTCCTCCTCAAGCAAATGGGAATGATCCTTCCTCTGCCTATTTCAGTGGCATGAAGGCAGTTGTGTTGTTTGAATGTAAAGTGTAATCAATAAATATAAAGTATTAAAATAATTATTCAGCATATAGTAAAAGCTCATTTAGCATAGAAATTGTCTTAGTCATCTTTGATCTTACCAATTCTCAGCCTAGGTTCTTGAAAAGTAGTAGTACATGGTAACGTTTGCTGTGTGATAAAATTAGAAGGAGAGAATACATAGTCATAAAGGGATTTTAAAAGCTGATATTTCTTTTTTTTCTTTTTCTTTTTCTGTTTTTTGAGATGGAGTCTCGCCCTGTTGCCCAGAGTGCAATGGCGCAATCTCGGCTCACTGCAACCTCCATCTCCCAGGTTCAAGCAATTCTCCTGCCTCAGCCTCCTGAGTAGCTGGGATTACAGGCACCCGCCACCACGCCTGGCTAATTTTTGTGTTTTTAATAGAGATGGGGTTTCACTGTGTTGGTCAGGATGGTCTGAAACTCCTGACCTGGTGATTCACCTGCCTCGGCCTCCCAAAATACTGGGATTACAGGCATGAGCCACTGCGCTTGGCCACAAGCCGATATTTCTAAGAGGTTGGAATTATAGTTATGAAATTGTAAAAGGTAAATTTATATTCAGTCCAGGTTTAAGAAACTAGGGCTTTGACGGTGAACGTGTTTCCCATCAGACTCCAGGTGTCTATGTGCCAACTCCGCAGGCACTGGCAGCCTTGGTACAGGTGCTGCCCAGGCTCTGTGCTTGCACAGCCTGGATAGGAGGGGATAGGTAATTGCTCACTGGGTTCTGCACACAAAGGCACATTTTCCAAAGCTGCTTTTCACACATAGTCAGTTGGAAATGTAACTTTCAGAGTGTAAGTCATTTTAGTTTCTATGTATTCAGAATAATTGCAGAACTGCTTTAGCAGATAATTTCATGGAGAGAAGAAAAATACTTCTTAGATGTTCTCAAATGAAATCCTGAAGGCTGAACTGGGGGTTGCTAGCTTTTTTCTGATGGCTGTGCTGTCTTTCAAAAGAAGGAAAGGAAAAGTAAAAATAATTGTAAAGTTCTCCTTTACATGAAGGGTAAGGTGTCATGCTTCCTACATTGTTTGGTCTTTTTTATTGAGTCTTCACACAGTTGGTTTTATCATCTGAAATGCATTGAGTTGATTTGAGGTTCCATATTTCTTATTTTCACCTTATTCTTTTTGGGCAGCATTACTAATTCCATAGGGAATCACCTTGTAAAGTCATGGGGATGGGGATGGGAGAGAACCAGGAGAACGGGTGTAGATAGCTCCTCATAAACCCATTGTTGCAAGTAGAAAGAAGCTCAGAGCTCGCCTACTGATGATGGGTCTGGAGAATCATCCTTAAATAAAAAAATGAGAATAGTAGCATGTGGCCTTTTCTTAGTCCTCTAGTTCAGTACTTCTCAGGCTATCTTTGGGGAAGAACTAGTTTTTAATTTTGAAAAAAAATTCAATCCATCTCACACTAATACTTTTGTGAAAATGTAACAAATTAAAATTAGAAAAATTAAATTTAAAAAGAATAAAATAGAACTCCCTTTTTTATTAGATTCAGCAGACATAAATTTATATTTCAGTAAACAGATTTAGAACAAACAGAAAAAAGTAAAGAATACAAACACCGTGGACATTTATTTGAATTGTACACCCAAGTGATTAACACAGAATACTCCTACTATACTTGTACTTTTGTCTTCCAAAATCATAATTAAACAATGATACAAGTGAAATACCAGTTCCTCATAATAAATGCCTATACGCACACTTTGCATGAACACCATGTGAGTTTCTGCCCTGAAGTTACTGGTATCTGTAAGAAAGAGAATATAATCAATTGTCTGTAATAAAATATTGTATTTACTAATACCAGAAATTTACACAAGGTACATTGGTGGCACAGAAGAAGAGAAAGTGACATTTGAATTGTCTTTAAAGAGGAATGCAGGGCAACCGTTCTCAAAGTGTGATTTGTGGATCTATGGTGGTCTCAGGCCTTTTCAGACACTTCATGAGGTCAAAACTATTTTTATAATACTAGGATATTTGCCTGTTTCACTGCATTGATATTTACACTGATAGTACAAAAGCAAAGGTGTGTGAAATGGTGGACACCTGAGCATGAATTAAGGCAGTTTCAAACTGTATTAGTAGTCACTGTATTCTTCACTGCCATGTACTCATATATTTTTTAAAGCCAGTTTCACTTAATAACATAATATAAATTATTAATTTGTGAAATCCCAATCCCTGAATATAGCTTAATATTCTGTGGGACAAAATGAGAACTATAGACCAGCACTTCTGCATATTGAAATACAAGGTTGTTTTAAGGAAAAGCATTTGTGCAATTGTATTCCAAGCTGACGTAGCTGTTGTCTTCATAGAACACCATTTTTACTTGAAAGAATGGCTCTCAAACTATGGTTATTCAGATTTGGGTATTTGGCAGAACATTTTCTTGAAAATGAATGAGGTGAACCCATCACTTCAAGGAAAACAATGGAAAGTATTTGTTGCCAATGATAAAATTAAGGCTTTCAAGCAAAAATTAGAGTGATGAAAAACTGTTATCTGCCACTGTGAGTTCAATAGTTTCCAATAAAAAGACTTTTTATAAGATTGGTGATTTTAATAAATGTGATTTTTAAAATGCTTAATAAAATGTATTGACTCTTCAAAAGATCTGTAAAAGTCAACAAATCTATATTTTCCAAATGACCAATGCATGATATTACAAGATAATGCTGGGTAAAAGAGCCATTCAAAATCTAAGACCAATGAGCATGAAATAAGAGTATGAAAAGTTCATTGATACGGTTTCAGATTTCACACTACAACTAAACTGTAAGGTATTATCACTTGTTAAATTCTAGGATAGTACCAAAGAAGACTATCCCTAGTTACCTGAAAAGGCTATTAAAATGCTCCTCCCTTTTCCAACTACATGTCTGTGTAAGGCTGGATTTTCTTCATATACTTCAACCCAAACAACATGTCACATTAGATTGAGTGTAGAAGCAGGTATAAGAATCTAGTTGTCATCTATTAAGTCAGACATTAAAAAGATTTGGCAATGTAAAGCAACAACATTTCTTTTACACATTATTTTCTATTTTGGACAGTATCATTATTTCCATAAACTATGTTATCTATGTTAACATGCAGTGAGGGGATTTTTAAGTGAATAAACACATATTCTAAAAATTTCTCAGGTTTAATTTCTAATATTACAAATATCAATAGATATATATCTGTAGACATAATCTTATGTAGATTATATCTACATAGATGTCTACATCTATATATAATCTACATAAGATTATATCTATTGATATTTATAATATTAGAAATTAAACCTGAGGGTCTCAATCTCTTAAAAGTGGAAAGGAGTCCTAAGACCAATAAATTTGGAACCCAGATTTAAGGGGGGGTCACATTTACTAGGATAATGGACATCCTGGGAACAAAGGTTTAGAAACCTGAGCAAGAGGTCGGGGTATAGTGGCTCATGTGTATAGTCTCAACACTTTGGGAGGCCAAGGTGGGAGGATTGCTTGAGGCCAGGAGTTCAAGACCAGACTGAGCAATATAGTGAGACCTTGTCTCTACAACAACAACAACAACAAGTAAAAAAGCCTGAGCAAGAAAAATGGGCACATTTGGAGCATGGTGCACAGTTCAGATGGGCTTCAGTGAATGGCAGGAGACAGGGGAGAGGTGTGAAAAATGAGGCAGTCTAGGTAGGCAAGGGCCAGTACAGTAATAAAGCGCTCAGGCCTCAGACTGCCTGGGTTCAAATCTTGGCTCTACCACTTGGTTGCTGTGTGATTTGGGGGAATTTACTTGACCTCTCTCTATTTCAGTTTCCAAATATTTAAAATAGAGATGATAATAATAGCACCTTCTATATAGGATTGTTGTGAGGATTTAATGACATAATCTCTCTTAAAATACTTGGCATAGTGCTTGGCATAAAGAAGGCACTCAATATATGTTTGCTATTTTGTATTAAGACATTTGGACTCTGTTCTCTAGTAAGAGAGAATTTGGAGGGTTTTAAGCAAGAAAGAGGTCCAAATGGATTAACATGTGCTGTAAGAAAAACACAGGGAGAGAGCACATTGTACTTGGGACTTTCCTAAATGCAATATGGGCCTCAGGGAAAGACAGTTACAGCTGAGTTCCACTGGCTACTTCTGTGAGTCTTCAACCTCAGGAAGGCTCTTGGGTCTTCTTACAGTGTACCACTTACTTTGAGAGCAATTTTCTGCACAACTGGGAATCAGTTCTCTTTTGTGGAACATTTCACTGACTTATTGACTTTCAAATTTGGGTTGTTTTTTTTTCACTCAGATAACTCTTCACATGTATGACCACTTACAAAGCCATTTCACTCTCCTGAAGTAATTGGCTGCCTGGTACCCATTTTTACATTAGCATAGTTTCTGAGGTGGCCCAGAGTTACCATGGACATAGTCAGCAGGACTGGAGCTGATCCAGGAGCAGCTCACACAGAGAGGAATCACTGGTGGCCAAGAAATCATTGTGTAATACAGGGAGTAAAATTCAGTTCATCAATAATGTATTGAGAGTTTACTCTGTGTCAGGCATTGAGGAACAGCAGAAGTGAAAAGCTACCCTCCCACCCCGATCCTAGAGTGGCTTGTTTTCCCTTCTGGTAGGGGGAATAAGGCATGTTTGCACATAACTACATTTCAGGTAGTGTGTGACGTGTTGAGACAGAAGTGAAAGCAAAGTACTTTGGGAGCCCAGAGGAGAACCTTGGAGAGACTGACAAGGGCTTGATGGCATTTGAGCTGGGTCTTGAAAGGGGGATCAGGTTCTAGCACAGAGAAATGGGCAGATGAGAGTTTTTATGTGGAGGGAACAACATATGAACATTGGGTACAGATGGGGTGTGAAAAGCATGCAGAATCAGCAGCATAATTTTGTGAAACCCAGTGCAAAATAAAAATGTGGGTCCTCTTGCTTGAAAATTGTTAGGAATTTTAAGACAGCAACAGTGGAGCATTCAACCAAGCATAGGACCTTCTAAGTGATTTCATTACTCTGCCAGGATTTAACCCAGGCAATAAGAGTTAAATGGTGGAAATAATTGAGTCGGTATAAATTCTTTAGCAAAAGCCAGTCCCTGTACTCTCATTATATTTAATGAAGCTCTGAAAATGGTTTCATGGGCAAATCTAAGTGTCTTAGCCTGGTATAAGGCTTCCCGCCTGGCCCCTGCCTGCCTCTCCATCCTCATCTCTCACTACTCTCCATCCATATCCCACATCCCAGGGCTCTGAATCAGTTGCTTTTGCTTGAGAGTCTGCCTTCTCCACTTCCCTGCCATACCTCTAATTCCCATTTACCTTTCAAAATTTTTCTCTGGGCCCAATGCATGCCCTGCCCAGCCCCATCACCCCAGTCTAGACTGGGCACCCCTTCACAGCACCCTGACCATACCACATCTCTTTGTCTATTCATCTGGGATGAGGTCCTATTGGACATTGCATCTGAGAGCTAGTGCCATTCCCCACCCAAGGGAGAGGCTTGCATATGTTTGTGAAATAAATGAAGAGATAGAGCTGGGCACAGTGGCTCATACCTGTAGCCCCAGGAACTCAGGAGGCTGAGGTGGGAGGATTACTTGAGCCACGGAGTTCGAGGCTGCAATGAGCTATGATCATGCCACTACACTCCAGCCTGGGTGACAGAGTAAGACCCCATCTCTTTAAATAAATAAATAAATAAATAAATAAATAAATAAATAAATAAATAAATAGCTGGAGTTAATCTATTGGACCAAGTGGTTGTCCAAAAGCCTACTCCATTTCAAATTAAATAGTCGTACAGCTTCAATTTCCAAAGAGGGCATATGATCTGCAATTTTTTAGCTGGAGTGTACTGCTGCTGATTAAATAGCCAGTTGTGAAATCCACCCCACTTCTCCACATTCCTTCTAGTTTCCCCCTAAGTTTCACTCCTCCTGGCTCTCCTGTGTAGCAAATATGTGCTCACCCACTACAGATGTTGCTGCATGGACCACCAAGATGATCGTGGCCAAACTGCAGTTTATAGGTGATACATGGTGAGGTCTAGAAATGAAAAAACTTTATTATTCTGACACCATACGCTGACCTGTTGTTCTAACCAGGGAGGATCAGGGGCATCCCAAGTGAGGGATGGGGTGGGAATGGTCTACATGAGTGGATTCTCTACAGAGAATTTTAAAATATTAATATACCAACTGAAAGTTGGTCTAATTTTTATTATTACTCTTTGCTATGGACTAAATGGTGATATCAGTTCCATTATGTATCTCCCTTCCCCAATTCATATGTCAAAGCCCTAATCCCCAGTGTGATGGTATCGTAAGGTGGGGCCTTTGGTAGGCCACCAAGATGATTGTAATCAAACATCAGTTTATAGGTAAAACAAGGTGAGGTTCAAAGCACTCTAGTGATTCACCTGAAATCTCACAGCTCCCAGATCATTTTTCATTACCCATTAGTATGATTTGAAAAACTTAAGATGGTATGATTTAAGTGCTCTGCATTGGTTTCCTATTGCGCTATAATAGATTAACACGAACTTGGTGGCTTAAAACAACACAAATTTATTCCCTTATAGTTCCGGAGGTCAAAAGTCTAAAATCAAAGTGTCAGCAGGGCTGTGCTCCTACTGGAGGCTTCAGGGGAAGAATCTGTCCCCTGGTCTTTCTCAGCATCTAGAGGCCACCTATATTCCTTGTCTTGTGTCACCATCCTCACATCATTCCAGCCTCTTGCTTCAGTCATCATATCTCCTACTTCTGCCTTTGACCTTTTTCCCCTCCCCATTGTAAAGATCTTTGTGATTACTTTTGATCCATCTGGATAATCCACAGTAATCTTCTCATCCCAAGATCCTTAATCAATCCGCAAAGTTCCTTTCTGTTTTGTTTTGTTTTTTGAGACAGAGTCTCTCTCTGTCGCCCAGGCTGGAGTGTAGTGACATGATCTCGGCTCACTGCAACCTCTGCCTCCTGGGTTCAAGCAATTCTCCTGCTTCATGCTCCTGAGAAGCTGAGACTACAGGTGTGTGCCACCATGCCTGGCTAATTTTTGTATTTTTAGTAGAGACAGGGTTTCACCATGTTGGCCAGGCTGGTCTTGAACTCCTGACCTCATGATCCACCCGCCTCAGCCTCCCAAAGTGCTGGGATTACAGACATGACCCACCGCACCCGGCCACAAAGTTCCTTCTACCCTGTAAAGTAACATAGTCATAGGTTCTAGGAATTAGGATTATTAAAAGGATGTGGACATCTTTGGGTAGCTATTGTTTTCTGTCTACTACATGCTCCTTAAGGTAATTATAAAATGTTTTCTCAAATTAGTTCTCAAGTTAATAAAATGCTGATGTTTAAGTTGAAACAGACATAACATTTCTGTATGAGTTATCTATTCCTCTGTGAAAACTACCCCAAAATGTAGAGGCTTAAAACAACAACAATAATTTATCTTTCTGGCTTCCATGGATGAAGAATTTGGGAGCAGCCCGGTTGCAGTCAGATATTGGCTATTGCTTCTGTTATCTGAAGGCACGATTTGGCTGGAGGAGCCACTTCCAAGATGGCTCCCTCACATGATGTGCATCTCCTTGGGGCTGGTTGAGTGTCTTCATGGCATGACCACTGGCTTCGCCCAGAGCAAGCAATCCAGAAGAACGATTCAGAAGCCAAAATCCCTTTTTGTGAACTAGACTAGGATGATTATTTTTTCCTAAGCACTGTTACAGTCTTGGTAGCTACACCAAGTCAACTGTTCTGTGGTGGTGCTGTGGTGAATGGAAAACCCAGAGAATTTCATCAACAACAACACTATTAACAGAAGAGTGGAAGCCAATGATTTCTAATGGTTATTTTTTTTGACAAGTTTATCATAGTGTATAAATACCCCATCAAACAGCTAAATACAAATTGAATGCTGTTTTTTTTTTCCTAAACTTTTTTTCTAACTACTAGTCACTGCTTAGCTTAATTTTCAGGTTTCTCTCTACTCTCAGGATAGCCGTGATTGCCTTGGAGCCGCAGTAATTCAGGGCAGGAAGCTGGTCTGAGGTGTCACGGCAGACACTCAAATCTTGGCTGTTCAGAGTCCATGTGAAGGCTCGCTTCCCTCCTCCTGACAGTTGGCCAGTCTTCCTAAGCCATCTCTCTTCCTGAAGAATAATGACCTTTCTGAGTTCAAGGCTTAAAATCACCTTTTTCTCTACACATTTTTCCTTTATCCTTCCTCTTTCAAGTAAGAAAAAGGGAAAAATAAAGAATGTCATATTTTCCTAGACTCTGCAAAATCTGACTCTAGCCTATGATTATTTCCTCTCAACTAGGAAAAAGTTGCTGTATCAACTTAGTTACTAATTTCTTCAATTAACTCTTCCTCCTATTTTTTTTTAAATCATTAGTACCCAGTTAGCATTAAGCACATCTTTGGCTAAGCCTATTGTTTTATAATCTGTTTCATAAAGACATTACACTCTTTTCCTTAAACATATTAAAATACTTTAACTTAACAAGACTTTTAAAAAATAAGGCATCCAATGGTTACTTGCAAACTAAATTAGAGGCTCACAGACGTGGATGAGGTAATGGTGCCTGTAAGAGTTATGAGAAGTTTAAAAAAATCTACTTGCTCACCCACTTCTCATCACACTGCTGGCTATAGGTAAACCTGAGAAAACATAATTTTTAGAAAGCTTTTCTGGTGATTCTAATATTCCCCTAGTTGAGAACAATAGTCATTGTCGTTCCAGGTAGATAGGGCCCATGTGGGTGTTGTTGGTTACCACATATGAGCTACATTTAGGGATAGAGTGGGGAAGTCTTATGTGTTGGTTCTGGGAAGCTTTTGGAAGAATTATGTTTTGAGCTATATCTAGAATAGTAATAACATAGCAAAAAAACTGACATGTGTTGAACACATACTACATGGGGCACTTTATATATATCATCAAATTTAATCCTCACCAAAATCTTACTATAAGGCAGATGGTATTATCTCCTTTTTACAGATGAGGAAAACTGAACTCACACTAAGTGTTTTGCTCCAAGTCACACAGCAAGTAAGTAGCAGGGTCGGGATAGTCAGCGTGACTGCAAAGCTCTGATTACTATGATGCAGTAGATTTGGTAGAAGGGAAACAGCAGAGATTCATGATGTGGGTAATGGCAAGAGAATTATTTCCTACCTGATTAAAATCTTTGTGAATGAGAAATATGTAGGCTTATAAGACGTCTTTAAAGTCAGTTATGGACATCACTATTAGGCTGGAAATTGTCTTTCTAGCACCAAGAAGATGAGAAAAGCCAAGTTTTTATCATCATGAATAAACCCTGTATAATATCATCCATTTCAAGTTTTCTAAATACATAATCATATATTAGAGCTCAAAGGGAGTTTAGGCCCCCTTTGAGCCCCAAGGAGTCCTGCTTCTTGTCTGACTTCCTCATTTGACAAGTTTGTTTACTCAAGGAAAAGCAGCAGAGCATAGATCAGTAGTTCTCAAATCAGGACGAATTTGCCTTCTAAGAAATGCATGGCCATCAATGTCTGGAGACACCTTCATTTCACAACTGGGATGTGCTGCTAGCATCTAGTAGATAGAGGCCAGGGATGTCCCTAAACATGCTGCAATGCACAACACAGTGTCCCACACCAAGTAATTGGCCACAAATGTCAATGCTGCTGAGGCTGAGAAGCACTGGTACAAAGGTTCAGGGCATAGATTTTGTATCCAAACTTCCTAGGTTTGAATCTAGCTCTATGTATGCTTACTAACTATGTGACTTTGGCCAAGTTACTTAAACTCTCTGTGTCCCATGTGCAAATGAGACTAATGATAGTCCCTATCTCATAGGCCTGCTAAGAGATTTAAATGAGTCAGTATACGTAAGCATTAGGACAGTATCTAGCACACAGTTGACATGTGTGTTTATTGTTTAGAGAGGCATTTGATGCAATGGTTGACTAGTTTCAAAGCCAACCTGCCTGGGTGTTTTCTTCCATCTGTTACTGGCTGGGTGACTTTGGGGAAGTCACTTAAACATTTTTGACTAGATTCTTTACCAGTGAAATGGATATCATGAATCTACCATTAAGATAAATTATGTATGCAAAGTAGTCAGAACAATGACTCATACATGATAAGAGCTATATAAGCATCAGTTGTTGTTATTATTCATTTATTCATTGATTAAACAAATATTTGGGCCTTCTATGCCCAAAGAGTGAAAGTCACTTGTCACTTGTCCTCAGCAACAAAGTCAGGATTAGGACCACTGACTTATACAAAATGAATAGTTTTGTCAGATATGATAGGCTCACAACTCTCTACTTCTTGGCATCCCATGTGGTAGAAGATTGGGGGATCTATTATTTTGGGTAATTATTATTTTGGAGGCAATGTGGAGAAGAGGCACTATAACTTACAGTGTCACTTAGCAACTAAAGGATTCCAATTCTGCCTTTGATAAACCAAGAGACTCATGGTTATTCAGTATGGAAAATCAACAAATGCTAGAGGTACTGAGATTAGAGTTGGCAAAAATTAGCAAGGTGATTTTAATTTATTTTTATTATTGAAAGAAGTATTTCTTTAAAAGCCACTGTCTGTCCAATTATTATGATGTTTCAATGTGATAGTAGTGGCTTCTGAAAAGTTTTTCACTTCTATTTTTGTTTTGAGATTTAGAAGAAAAATAAACGTCGAGTTTTGTGAGAGTTTCTAACTTAAAAGTAGCTGTAACTACTATTGGAAAATGGGCCTAGTTAAGATTAACATGCTTGTTTAAATGACTTTTAAAATTATGTGTTATTTTAAATGGCTTTGTTAATTAGATTCCTCTTGATGACTCATATTGGAGAAAAATAAACTTAGAGCTCTCATTAGGAAGTAAAGCAAGACCTGGGTTTGCAAACCTGCAAGCCAGTCTACCTTTAGCCATGTGCGTTGTAACTAAATGGTTGTCTCTTTGCAATCAAGAACTCAGCGAGCTCAAAATAAGTAAAAGTAGCAAATTATCTGAAGACCTTTTCAACCTGTTTCTGACCTTCTTGATTCATTTGCAGAAGTAATTGCCTATGGAAATTGCTGTGCTTTTATCTGTGGTGCTATTAAAACACTGGTTGAAATGAGGTGGCACAGACTGCATTGTTAATGGGTTACCGTGGAGCAGGAGCTGTTGTTTTATTCGACAGATGAGAAGTAGCTGAAAATAACCTTCTGTCTCCCCTGTAAGAACTGTGCTTGTTAAGTGACATTCACCAACACGGCCGAGTTTGAATGTGGTGTAGGAATTCATGCTATTCTTAGCAGGTTATTAAATGAGAGTTTTTAGGCTTCTCTTGTTATAAAATAGGGAATGTATCTGTTTTATATTCTCTGTTTCGGGGAGCTTCTTTCTATGCCTATGGCAATGGCTGATGAGTTGAAGAGAAATGAGGGGATAGTGCTGGTGTAACCGAAATGCAGGTTAATCGCTCGCCGCTTGCAGAGTCTGATTAACAAGAGTGAGATCTGGTAAAAAGAAAGTGACTTATTTCCAAAGCTGGCTTAGAGGAAGAAGCACAGATGTCCCGCCTTTAAATATACCACTTTGCTTTTGGAACAGAAATCAGACACTTTAAAAAGGCAGGGGAGGAAGTGAGCAAGGGTGTGGGATCTGTGTGTTACCTCCGGTGCCTTATCTACTGGGTGGTTTAGCTGGTGACTGCTGGCACCTTCGTGGGCAGGACTAGGCCAAAAGCGCCCCAGGTGGGATGGAGTTTCATATCTTGAGTCAGTCTCCTGGTAGGGGGAGTTCATAGAAATCAGCTGCTATCTCAAGGCAACCTCCTGGTGGCCTGGTGGGTGAAAGTTCTGTAGTGGACATGGTTCAGTCTCTAAATTGACTGTTAACTCTTCAGGAGTTAGGTGAACTAGCCCTGTAGAGAGTATCTGGTGGAGTGGGGCGGTGGTGATAAAAGGGTATTTTTACATTTGTAAAGGGCTAAGTAAGAAGTGGGGAAAGAGAAAAAAATAATTAAACCATCTCTTAGAAAAATGGGGCTACTCGGTTCCGCTGGCAGGAAATTCAGAGCTGAGTGTAGTTATTTCCATCAAGGTGTTGCTAATCTGTGGGATGGTTCTCTCATTCTCACCTGGCTTCATGGCCATTGTCCTGTCCAGTAGAGTAAGGTTAACTACCTTCAGAGTCTCCTTATGCATTCTCAATATGGCCCAGTATCTTTTTTTGTTCATCTGGCCATCCTTCCTCCTTGAGGGAGGGCATTATACTAAAACCTTATTAGGGAAGTACTGAGTATTTATTGGTATAGCATAAACCAGTGTTTCTCAAACTTTAACATGCCTCAGAACCACCTGCAGAATTTGAAAAGAACAAATTTCTCGGTCTCACCCCCAGAGATTCTGATCCAGTAGGTCTGGGGTAGGCCTGAGAATTTGCATTTCTACCAAATGCCCAGATGTTGTGATGCTGCTGTTCCAGCATCACACTCTGAGAAGCCCTTGGATCATTGAACCAGAGCAAACTCACCTCTTTGAGACAGTCTCTTCAGTAGCTTGTCAACAGCATTAACAAATTGAATGCATCCACTGAATGCAGAGGAAGATGCCTCTGAAGTGACTCCACCAAAATTTCCACACTCCAGAAACTCTTCTATTTAAGGAAAAGCACAGGCCAACTTATCACAGTAGGAGTATAATCATTCAAAGCCAAGAGCTGAAGAAACCAGAATCCAGAGATGATTGATGGAAAAATATGAACACTGGGTGGTTCAGGAAAGAAAACTAAGATTTACTGTGAATCTGTTCCATCCAGCATTGTGTTTGACATTTGTCATGTTAATTAATTGACTATTCCCAGCCACCCTAAGAAGTGAGGATTATCTTTCCCCTTTCATAAATGAGAAAACTGAGGCTCTCATGACTTGACTTAGTGACAGGGCCATGAATTCCATTCCAGTGCTGCTTTCTCATCAGAACCTGAGTTATTTTTACTATACCATGCTGCTTCCCAGAACAGCAGATGACATGACATATCTGAGTATTTAATGTTTGTTGAATTAAGACATCTGATGATAAACTTAGTGAGGTAACATTTCCAGGAAATAATTAACTTTAGAGAAAATTCTTTAGTCTTTAATTATCCTGCTGTTAATTATTATTATTACTTATTGAGCATGTATTATGTGCAAGGTACTGTGATAAGCATTTTATATATTATCCCACTTATTAAAAAATATAAGGTAATTATTTATTATATACAAAGAAATTTAAAGAGAGTAAATGATTATCCTGAAGTGGGTAGTGGAGCCAGTATTCCAAATTGCATCTCTTGTCTCCAAAGCATAGACTCAGCATTCTCCTGTGCGTCCTCCTCCTATGCTGGATTGATCTGCTAGCATGGCAATGAGTAGATTCTTCTTTTTCTTCCCATTGTTACTACTTGTATTGGTCCATTTTCATGCTGCCAATAAAGACATACCTGAGACTGGGTAATTTATGAAAAAAAGTGGTTTAATGCACTCACAGTTCCGTGTGGCTGGGGAGGCCTCACAATCATGGTGGAAGGCAAAAGGCACATCTTACATGGTGGCAGACAAGAGAGAAAACTTGTGTGGGGAAACTCCCATTTATAAAACCATCGGATCTCATGAGACTTATTCACTATCACAAGAACAACGTGGGAAAGACCCACCCCCATGATTCAGTTACCCTTCACCAGGTCCGTCCCACAACACATGGGAATTATGGTAGCTGCAATTCAAGATGAGATTTGGGTGAGGACACAGCCAAACCATATCACTACCCATTTCTGCCCAGGCAGTGAGTTTCTTGGCTATGGCTTTTAAGTTACAGGAAATAATTTAAAAGTTAGTTGCCAGTTGCCATGCCAATATAAACACTATCCTCACACTTACTCCATCAATATCACATTAGAAGAAACAAAAGCAACAACAACAGTAAAGACCAAAAACTACATTAACAAAATTAGATGTGTTGCTCTTACATGGGCTGGATGAAATTGAATAAGGACTAAGTCTGGTTCTCAGGTCTTATTCCCTACCCCCTCACACTCTCCCCTTGTCTACACTTACTCTTCAGCCCCTCCTCATCCATGAATAGCTTCGTTCAAAATCACTAAATATGTAGTCAGTATTTCAGCTAATACATCAAAGTTCTTAGTGTTTATGGATTTTAGAGATTCCTTTGAAGGCCTCTGTGCATGATGAGCTTAGTTTAAAACATCTCTCTTCTGGACCCCAATATTGTTTGGCAATGATAAATTTTGAGTCTGTGCAATTAAAAGGCAGCAGTCTTTTAATTCAATTCAGGTTACTGTTCTAGGTTACTGTCTTCATGACATGCTGTCCAATGTGTGTCAACTGTCATGATAGTTGACTCTAGGATGATTAACTGAAAGAGTAAATAACATCAGGAGTCTCTATGTACCAGCGCAGTATTCTGGATATTTCACACAGTATCTCATTTAATTCTGCCAACAACCCAGGGGGAAGCAAGCAGACATTTCTCTTTTTATTAGATTGACAGGAACAGAGGGAAAAGAAGTAAAGTTATTTGCCTCTGACCACACAGTTCTAAGCAGCTGAGCTGGAATTTGAACCCAGAAGAGTATAACTCTGAAGACTCCATCTTTCCTTCCTTATCAAGAGAAATGTTGTGAGTGCAGAAGTCACCTATAGGGATTTGCTTGGCTTCCCTTAACATAGAAAGCAGAAAATTTAACTTGTGAGCTCCTTCTCTGCCTTTTTAGACTCTATTTGCTCTATCTCATTATTGACTTGGAAGTGAGAGAGTGTCTCTGGACCACTTTGAGTGCTCAGTGCCAATAATGTATGTGTTAATGACACTCCCTCCTGCACCCTGCATAGGCAACAGCACAGCTACCTGACTTAATGAGCAGTTCATCCTAATCAAATGACTAATGGGGAATTAAGAATGATAAGACTGGAAATTTTGTTTTAAGGGAAATTCATACAGGAGTTTTTTTCTTTTTTGGCAAAAAAGACATATTAAGTCTCCTTAAAATAAGCAGCAGTAAGGTGTAATCTTAATGGATATTGAATTTCAGGCACTATCTGGCTTAAAAGCAGAGATTGGAAAGGGCTTCTGCTTTCTCAGTTTTGCCTGTTGGCATCTATGAAACCTCAGGGTGGCAGGATAGTAAGAGTAGTAGAGTTGAAGTGAGGGGAGATAGAAAAAGAAACAGAGAGCAAAGGAGGGTGTTAAAGTCTATATTTAGAAAATATATAGTGGCTCTTAATAGGTAAGTCACTTTTTCTTTTCAATTTGCCTATCCTTATTCCAGAAAAGGTGATCAATGAATAATCCAATCAGCCTTGGCTGTGAAGAGCAAGTCAAAACCAACATTTATGTTCATACAGCTTGACAACATATTCTGGAATACAAGAAGGAATTGCAATAGAAGCTAGAAAATCATCGTACCACTCTTCTCAAAGTTCTTAGCAGTAAAAGTATCACCTGGGATCTTGTTAGAAATATATGTTCTCTAGGGCCCACTCATGACCTACCAAATCTACTTTGGAGGTGAGGTCCCAGAATGGGTTTAAAGGCTCTCCACATGATTCTGATACACACTGAAGTTTGAGAATGGATGATTTGGTGGATACAGTGTGTGGCTGGAGTCAGATCCTGGGTTCTGGCCTTGCTACATATTGCATTATTTCTTTGATCTTGGACCTCAGTTTCCTTACCTGCTAAATAGTGACAATATCTACCTTGAGGTGGCGGTGTTATTTATCATTACTATTTTGCTCTGAGCACTTGACTTTGCGGGTTTGGAAACCATTTTTCACTTTCATATGGGGCACATCGGGCCAAAGCCAGTAATTCCTGAAGCCTTTGCAAGCCATTGATAATGCTTTTGCTGTAATGGCTGGCTGAATGCACATGTTTATATCTGATTACCCCTGTAACCCCACAAAAGCAACAGCAAAGAGGAGTCTTTTTTATGAACATAAATCCATAAAGACAAAAAGAATGAGAGGAGAGATAACAGTAACACAAATTTGAAAGCTGGAAAGCAATGAATGACTTGGTAGACCCCATAAAGCTAAACCCTAATGTGACAGAAGGGAAATCTGAAAAATAATTTGATTTGCAACAGAGCTCCCAAAAAATTTTCACCAGAACCCCCACTCAACTATTAGTGACAATAAGTACCTCTACAAGTGGAGGTGAAGGTGGAGCTAAGGAAAAGGAGGCCAGTTAAAAATTTGCTTAGCAAGTATTTAGGCCCACATATGTCTTTCTCATTCTGTGCAGTTGGGTCATTGCGCCTCCTGATATTCATGAAACCTGGTTTATTCTTTAGAGGTAGTCTCTGGACTGGGGGACAACAGGCACAGTGAAACAGAGGTAGTATATGAAAATAAGAATTAAGGGGAACTTTGTACACTGAATATTGAAACCTTCAACCTTTCTCTCCCTCACTTAATTGCTGAATATTGCCAGCATTCTTGACAGCAAATTGAGTCTTCTCTGAGCAGTGCAAAAGGACAGTCCTAAAGTTGGTAGCATCATGGATTCTTCAACACAAACTCTAGCCAGGTCAGTCTACAGTGAATTCTCACAGTTGACAATGTCTACTCATTCACTTAAAGCTTTTAATCAGTTTTCTAGGGCCCCACTCTTAAATACGAGTGGATATCTAAGGATTACCATATATTTCTAAGAAGAAAGGCAGACAAACATGCACATAAGTAAATGAGGAAACAAAGACTAAGCAAAGAGAAGTCAACTTAAAAATAGGCTTATCATTGATATCCTTTGAGAAAATAGGAGAAGATATTACATCTAAGAAAAAACAGAATGCAATTAAAAAGGAACATTCAGACAATGAAAAAAATCTCATGGAAATTAAAGTATAATATCAAATGAAAATTCAATAAAAGAGCAAAAGCTGAAGAAATTTCTCATAAAATGATAGAAATAGGAAGAGAGAAAAATAAGAAAATGAGATCAATCTAGGAGTCCAACATCTGCATCACAGGAGGCCAGGGAAAAGAAAATATAGAAATGGAGGGGAAGAAATTATCAAAGAAATAATCCAGGAAAATTTTCTTGAAATGAAGTGCATACATTTCCAGATTGAAAGGGTTTAGCACAATGGATGAAAATGGAACCATAGCAAAAAGGTGCATTATTACGAATTTTCAGAACCTTGTAGAAAGCGTTTCTAGAGAGAAAAAATACAGGTTATAATATGCAGGACAAGGGATCCTACTGGTTCTGACTTCTCAATAGCAAGATAAGGCTGGAGAAATGCTTCCAAAATCCAGAGAGAAATGATTTCCACTTTAGAATTCTACACCAAGCTAAGCTATTAATTGAATATAAGAGTAGACATGTTAGGTCTCAAAAAACTTTGTTCCCATATATCCTTTTTTTCAGAAAGCTATTAGAAGATGTCTCATAAAAAAGAGAGAAAGGGGTAAACCAAGGAAGAGGAAGACAGGAGATGCAGGAATAAGGGGCTCTAACCTAAATAAGTGAAGAAACTTCCTAGGTTGCTGATGAAGAGTGAGAACTAGAAATAAAATTCTAAGTCCCTTCACTGACTAAACAGACCTTCTCTTGGCCAAGGGGACTTCAGAGAAGCCTTGGAAACTGAGTTCCTGGCCATAATAGGATGAGAGGTTAAACATGCTTTGTTATAACCCCTATCTCACTAAACGCCCTTAGTCTTTCTTCCCTAAGACTAAACAGAAACCAGCCCGTTTGAAAGACTCCACCACTGATAATCACTGATGCTGCTCCTCCCTTTTGTGATTTTCACAAAACAGCTGAACTGGATTCCTTCCTGATAAGAGACCACTCACTACAGAGTGGTTCTGGCTAGTCTATGGAGGATGCACAGTGAGGGTTTTCATGTACTCTGCTTTAAAAACTCCATCCTTGGTTCATGCTAATGCTGCCATTTTTTGAACATGGGTCCCATGGGGAAGCATGAAACTCAGTTGTTCACATGCATGTTTCTCTTTTTATGAATATTCATGGTCCCTCCTATAGCTTATTTAATATATATATTTGGCCACCCCATTCACCATACATCTTTGTCTTATTCTTCTCCCTCTTGAAGTGTCTGCTTCTGGTTTCTGGCTGGAGGCTATGCTTCCCAGCCTGTCAGAACAGCCCCCTGCAAGCTGCAATCCTTTATGAGAAATAAAGCTCTCCTTTCCAAATTTATGAACCTTGTCATTTTCAGTTCACAGGAAAGATTCACACAAATGGCAATGGCACAGTTCAGAAGCTTCCAGGAAAAATTTAAGAAAATGAAATTGATAAAGATATGTGTTTTTGCTACACCCTCCCTCCCTCCCCCACCTCCCCAGCCAAATTCCATATAGCTATTTCTAATTAAGGGCTGGAGAATACTATCTTTTTTCTTTCTTTCTTTCTGGGTAGGAATCGCTGTGATATAGTATAAACTCTAAACCACTGAAATATGAAAGAAACCCCTTCTTCTCCAAATCAGCATTTTGCCTTGAGGTTGGGGGAGGTCTCCTTCCTTTCTGAAAATAGAAGGACCCAAAGAATCCACATTTGGAGGCATCCATAACACCTTCTGCACTGGGAGGTTCGTTCTTGCTTTTTTAGTTTCCTGACAGTGGTGTTACAATCTCCCTCCCTTCCTCTCTACATCACACTCATATATCTATTCAGGTGACAACTGGACTTACATGTCTTCTCTCCCAGTTAGGTTTTTAGTATTTAAGGTGTAATGCTTTATATATAAGATACCAATATAAATTAAACGTTACGTGCATGAAAAACATGTAATCCCCCTTCATATAAAATTAGGGGCTGGCCATGGTAGCTCACATCTGTAATTCCAGCACTTTGGGAGGCTGAGGTGGGAGGACTGCTTGAGGCCAGGAGTTCGAGACCAGCCTGGGCAACATTGTGAGAACATGTCGCTATTTTATTAAAAAAAGAAAAAGGAAAAAAAATTAAGGAAGGGGCATTGAGACAATAATTATCCACCTTTAATGTAATAATATTTCATAATAGTAATTGTAATTGAGCAAGGGCCTCCTGAGGACCCTTAACCTTCCAGAATGCCTCAGAAGCACCCTAGAACAAGAGCAGCCCTGAGCTGTAAATGATGGTTGTCCATCCCTGCTTGATGTCTGACCTGCTGCCTGGTTCTCTCAGATCATGGACAAAAGAGCTATTCTTACTATATTGATTTGGTGTAACTATTGTTTTAGGCTCAAGATTAAATTAATTTTCTGGGATCCATCCTAAAAAGAGGCACATCTACTCTTTTCCTGTGACTCCTGGTTCATTGTGAATCAGAAAACAGAGCTGAAGCAGGACTGCCCACATAGGCTTGTTGAGTTAGAGTCAGACTCACTGGAAAAAGACAACTAGCCCATCTCCTGGGAGGATGGTTAGTTCTGACCACACTTCATGTCACTATTGGCATGGAGGAGACAGGACCTTCAACTGCATTGTTATGAGGCTATCTATGAGCTTAGAAGAGCAGGTGTCTGCTTTTTGTCCGGCTCCTTTTGTTCAGATTGACACCACTCCCTGGTACTTTTCCAGAGAACTCTTTGATCCTTGTTTATAACTCTCTTTTGGTGGATTTGTGTCCTCAGTCCTTCCCTTATCTCTAGATCCATGCATTTCTCTCTTATTTTTTTGCCTCCCATAGTATGTCAGCTAACACTGAATAAGATTACTTGGAAGAAATGGTTGTGGTACATCCATACAATGGGATAGTATTCATCAACTAAAAGGAAGGAACTATTGAAACATGCAACAACTTGGAAGATTTTGATGAGTTAAAAAAGACAATCTCAAAAGGTCACATACTGTGTGATTCCATTTCTGTAACATTATTATTATTATTATTATTTATTTATTTATTTATCTTTTTGAGACAGTCTCGCTTTGTCACCCACCCAGGCTGGAGTGCAGTGGCACAATCTTGGCTCACGCAACATGCACCTCCCAGGTTCAAGTGATTCTTGTGCCTTAGCCTTCCAAGTTGCTGGGACTACAGGCATGTGCCACCATGCCTGGCTAAATTTTTTTGTTTGTTTTTTTAGTAGAGACAGGGCTTTGCCATGTTGACCAGGCTGGTCTTAAACTCCTGGCCTCAAGTGATCTGCCCGCCTTGGCCTCCCAAAGTGCTGGGATTACAGGCATGAGCCACTGTGCCTGGCTTTTATAACATTCTTAAAATGACATAATTATAATAAAGGAGAAAAAGGTTGTGATTGCTGAGGGAAGCGTGACCATAAAGGGGAAGCACAAGGAGATCTCTGTGGTGATAGAAGAATTCTGTATTTTGAATGTAGTGTTGGTTAAATGAATCTACACGTGATAAAATGACACAGAACTATACATATACTTTATAGCAATATCAGTCTGTTCTTGATATTGTGCTGTAAGATGTAATTAATGGGGGAAACTGGGTGAAGGGTACACAGAATTTTTCTGTACCATCTTGGCAACTTCTTGTGAATTTTTTTTTTTTTTTGAGATGGAGTCTTGCTCTGCTACCCAGGCTGGAGTGCAGTGGTGTGATCTTGGCTCACTGCAAACTCTGCCTCCTGGGTTCAAGCGATTCTCCTGCCTCAGCCTCCCAAATAGCTGGGACTACTCGTGTGCACCACCATGCCCGGCAAATTTATATATATATATATATATTTTTTTTTTTTTTTTTTTTTTTTTTTTTTGGTAGAGATGGGGTTTCACCATATTGGCCAGGCTGGTCTCGAACTCCTGACCTCAGGTGATCCGCCTGCCTCGGTCTCCCAAAGCTTCTTGTAAATTTCTAATTATTTCAAGTAAAGTGTTTGCTTTTCTTATTTAAAAAGAGACATGAACTATTATTAAACAATACATGCAGTAACATGGATGAATCCCAAAATACGCTGAATCAAATAAACCAAAGAAGAGTACAAAAGAAAAAAAATAAGTACAATGAGCTACATCAAAGCTAAAACCTTTTGTGCTGTAAATGATACCACCAAAAATGATACCACAACCCATGGGATATGAGAAAGTATTTTCAAATCATTTATCTGAGAAGGGACTTGTATCCAGATTATATAAAAGGGTTCTTAGAACTCAACAATAAAAAAAAAATTGAAAAATGGGCAAAGATTTGATTTCTCCAAAGAAGATATATAAATGACCAATAAGCACATGAAAAGAAGCTTAACATCATTAGCTGTATGGAAATGCAAATCAAAACCACAATGAGATGGCAAGTCATACTCACTAGAAAGGTGATAATTGAAAAAGACACAATAACAATTGTTAATGAGGATATTGAGACACTGGAACTCTTATAGACTGCTGGCAGGAATGTAAAGTGGTGCAGTTACTTTGGAAATCAATTCTGCAATTTCTCCAACATGTTAAACCTAGTAACCGTATGACCCAGCAATTTCACTCCTAGGTATATACACAAAAGAATTGAAAATATGTTCACATAAAAACTTGCACATGAATGTTTGTAATAGCCAAAAAGCAGAAACAACCCAAATGCCCATGAACTGATGAATGGATAAATGAAATGTGGAATATCCACACAATAGAGTAGTGTTCAAATTAAAAAGGAATGAAGTACTGATACATGCTACAACATGGGGTGAAGCTGGAAAACATTATGTTAAGTGAAAAGCTAGTCATGGAAGACCGCATATTATGTGATTTTAACTTATATGGAAATCAATAGAGATAGAAAGTAGGTTAGCAGTTGCCTAGGGCAAGGGGCTTGGGAGGAAATGGAGGATGATTGTTAATGGGTATGGGGTTTATTTTCGGAGGAATATATTCTAAACTTAGATTGCGGTGATGGTTACACAACTCTGTAAATATACTGAAGACCATTGAATTTTGTACTTTAAATGGATACATTTTATGGTGTATGAATTATATCTTAATAAAAGATGTTAAAAAGAGTACATATTGTATGATTCCATGTATATAAAATTCTAGAAAATGAAGGTTAATCTGTGTTGCCAGAAGAGAGATCAGTGGTTTTTTGGAGATGGCAGGTGGAAAGCAGGTGGGGATGGGAGGGAGGGATTACAAAGAGGCATGACACAACTTTTGGTGGTGATGGATATGTTCACTATTTTGATAGTGGTGATGATTTTATTGGTGTATATATGTCAAAACATAGCAAATTATATACTTTAAGCATGTGCAGTTTATTATATATCAATAATAACTCATCTTTTGAAAAGCCAGAGCAAAAATGTGTGAAATTTGACAAATATTTATTAAGTACTGGTATAGTGTTAGATCCTAGGGATACAACGGCAAGGAAAAGATGGCTTCAGCCTTCAAGCAACTCACACTGTCAGGGAACAGGCAAAGAAAGAAGCACGTGATTGCAAAATGGTGTAATATGAGTTCTATAGAAATATGTCTGGTAAATCATGGTCACACTCGTGGTGACAGATGGAGGGCAAAAGGTGTATAGGAAGACTTCCTGGAAGCAGTGGCTCTTGAGCTCAGCATTGAGCAATGGAAGTTAGAGGTAGAAGGTTGGGTTTTGTAATAACATAATGGTCCTTCTTCCTAATGCAAATGTAGGGGGAGCTGTAGTAGCATGTAGTACACACTTGCTATGTCTCAAAGGGGACTTGATTTTATTCTTACCATATTAAAGCTATGTTTTTCCCCAGGAGCCACATCACAGTGAAGCAGATTGTTGCACTAACAGTAAGTGCAAAACAAGGATATAACATCCTTCACTGCCCTCTGCAGACTTGCTATTATTTATTTATTTGTGATTATTTATTCAAGGTCTGTCATTCCTGCTCCGTTTTTTGCTCTGTGAGGACCAGGTCTGACTGTTTATTCACCATCCTGTCCTTGGCAGGTAGCACAGTGCTTGGCACGTAGCAGAGCTTGATAAAGCTCATTCACTGATGGGTTTGGATTTTGACTGGTGTGGAACACATAGGCACACATTTGACTAGTGACCTCAGGCATGGCTCAAACTTTTTATGACAGAAAGTATAAAATTAAGCAGTACAACTTACCCCGCCCCCGCAACCCACTGCCTAGCCCCCACTGCTGTGTCTTAGTTCTGGCCCCGGCCATGCCAGCTCACATGCACCCTAGCCCTGTCTCCCACACGTTTCTCCTAGTAGCTTGGTGGTAAGAGGCTCTTTCTTTGCATCCATGCCCCCAGAAGCTCCAGGTGTGAGGGTCTCCTGAGAATAGTCAGGGCAGTCTGCACTGGGGAGGGACAGCTCTGGCCATTGGCCTACTCTGAGCAAGCTGAGCATTCTGGAACCCTGGCTCAGGGACCACTAACTTGTTATTTCTTCTTTTGCTCCTCCTCCTCACCTCTAGCACTTCTCTATGCCACCATCTTCGGGAATGTGACGACTATTTTCCAACAGATGTATGCCAACACCAACAGATACCATGAGATGCTCAACAGTGTTCGGGACTTCCTGAAGCTCTACCAGGTGCCAAAAGGATTGAGTGAGCGAGTAATGGATTATATTGTGTCCACTTGGTCCATGTCCAGAGGCATTGACACAGAGAAGGTAAGGAGGATGAGGAGCTCAGGGAAACCATTTGTCTTTTGGTTTCCCTAGGAGGGTTGAGGCTTGCCTAAGACAGTGGATGTCAAACCTGGCTGTGCTCAGAATTCACTTGAGTACTTTGGGATTCCAGGTCCTACCTCCAGAGGTCTTGTTTGCTTCTAGATCAGCCTTACTCAAAGACCAACAATAAAACATCATTAAGAAATTAGAAAGGCAGGGTGTATTTCCTGGAGAAGAGAGGAGCTGGAAGTCTAACTGTCCAGGGTAGAATTTCCCAAACTTGGATGATGATAAGAATCAGAGCCATGACTAGAGACGGGAGATCAGTATTGTCAATTTTCTTTTTACCCAGACTTGAAGATAGCACAGCACTGTTACTGATCTTGTCTTTATTCAAACTTTTGATATTTTGTTCATCATGGATTTTTTTGCATTAACCTTAGAATTAAACCATGATTTATCTTGATTACTGACTTTTTTAGCATTCCCTTAATTTGTGTGCCCAAGGCTGTTGCCTCACTCATCTCAACCTCATCTTGACCCTGATAAGAATCCCATGATGTCAGGCCAGATGCAGCGGCTCATGCCTGTAATCCCAGCATTTTGGGAGGCCGAGGCGGGTGGATCACTTGAGGTCAGGAGTTTGAGACCAGCCTGGCAACATGGGGAAACCCCATCTCTACTAAAGATACAAAAAATTAGCTGGGTTTGGTGGCAGCACCTGTAGTTCCAACTACTCAGGAGGCTGAGGCAGGAGAATTGCTTGAATCCAGGAGGCAGAGGCTGCAGCGAGCCAAGATAATGCCACTGCACTCTAGCCTTGGTGACAGAGTGAGACTGTCTCAAAGAAAGAATCCCATGATGTCATTACTAAAAACAATCCTAGCCTCCATCCCAGATCTGTGAAATGAGAACTTGGGGGAGGTGAGGGAGCATTTTTAATAAGTGCCCTTAAAAACTATCCCAGCCTTCACCAGATCTATGGAATGAGAATTTAGGGGAAGTGAGGGAGCATTTTTTTTTAAGGAGTTACTCTTTTTTTTTGTTTTAATTTAAGTTCTGGGGTACATGTGCAGAACATGCAGGTTTGTTACACAGGTATACACGTGCCATGCATTTTTGACAAGTGCCCAGGCAACCCTATTCATCAGACAAGTCCAGGAAACAGTGATCAAGAGTTTGTGCCTTAATCATCAGTTGACTTGACCAGAACATCAATTAGGCATCTCTCTAGTTATTTGTTTTCCCACCTGTAAAATGGAGAGGGTGATAAATTCCTATTGTTCTCTAAGAATTGTATTATTCTAGGTGCATTTCAATAGAGTAATGAAAATTTGGTGGTACTGGAAATAATAGAGAAAACATACAGTGGGCTTCCTATTATTTACTTATGAATTTTCTTTGCATATTTTCTATAAAAAAGATTTAATCTCAGATCCATTGAGATTAAATCTATTCTCAATGAGATTCATTCTCTGCTTCTCAGTCTTTATCAAGTCTTTTTTCTCTCCAGTCCATAAGTACTCAAGGCATACTGATTCTTTCGACCGTTAGAATGAGGAAAACAGAAAGATAACATGATCGTAAAAATACATAATGACACATTGCAAACCAAATTCAACTGGCTTTGGGATCAGCTACTTATGTTCCTAGTCTTCCTTCATTAGAATTGTCAGTTGAGAGTTGACAGTTTAAAAGGAAACATTGAACTGAATTTAATCCTCAACTTGAACATTACTTTGGTTTTGCTGACTATTTGCCGTGATAACCATAACACCACTACTACAACCTCAGCTACCATTTCTTGAACATGCATTAAGAACAGATATTTGTTGTGCTTCTTCTACATGCCTGGTCTTGCACTAGTGTCTCATTTAGCCTCCACAGCAACCCTGTTATCCTTCTTGAAGGGGGTAAGCACAAGAGGCCCGATTCATTTTACTAACTGCCCCTGGTCACAGTGTAAAGAATGGCAAAGCCAGGATTTGAACACCATTTTGTCTGACTTCAAAGCCTGTGCTTTTCCTACTATTACTTAAAAAAATTTAAAACATGTACTAGAGAGAAGGAGGATGAGTCCAAACAGAGTCATTCTAATTTCTTGGATGGGCAGGGTATCGGCTGGAGCTGAACTTAGTCGCTGCTTTTGCCAACCACCTGCCCCAACTACGCCTATTGTTTCTGCTGTGTTCTCTCAACAATGCCTGTAGGTTCTGTGGGTTCCTGGCAGCTGATGGAGCAGAAAGGAACTTTGATCTCTCTGCCCTAGGGC
Organism: Homo sapiens; assembly: GCF_000001405.40. NCBI lineage: Eukaryota > Metazoa > Chordata > Mammalia > Primates > Hominidae > Homo > Homo sapiens. Next base: position 210,801,694 of record NC_000001.11, on the reverse strand, counting down.
TCCTTTTCCCAGGCACCAGGATGCCTTTGTAAGTCTGGTTGTCTGGAAAGAAGCCCTTCCCCACCCTCACTGTAGGGCTGGCTGGGTGGCTGCCCATGGGAGACAGCACCGTCAGCATTTGCCCTCTCTTCCTCTCCCTGTAGATCTGTCCTGCAGATCTGCCCTCACTTTCCTGGAGGGCTTTGGGATTTGCCCCAGGTGCTGGTCCAGATGGAAGAGGGAATAGCCATGGACCCAACTGTGGCTACTCACTCTGGAGCCCAGAGCGGGCTGGCTGCTCCTCTGGGCAGGAGCTTGTGGCAGGCTACTGCTGGGGAGAGAACCAGTCCTGTCATCCTATACCTCTCCCCATCTGCCCCTCCCCTCCAATCTAGGTCAGAATGGTCAGTGATAACCAGGGAGCCAGGGCATGTGGGTGGTAGTGCTGGGATACCCCAGTTTTACCAGCTATTAGCTGGTGACTTTGAGCATATCACTTGTCTCTCTCCAAGCCTGTTTTTATGTCTGTAGCTCATGGAAACATGAATTTTAAGACTAGGTGACCTCTAAAGCCCTTTTGGCTATGACCTTCTGGACTTCAAAGCCTCCCTGAAATTGCTGCTGCTGCTATGATGACAATATCAAAAATGAGAGCTCACAGGCATTGAACACTTGTATGTGTCAGGCATTATGCCAGGACATTCCACACAACAGCTCATGGAATCCTCAGAAGAATTCTATATGCAATTTCAAAAAAATGAAGACATGGGGAGAGGAGCTAAGTATTGCTGCACATTCACGCATCTAGTGAGTGCTGACACTGGGACTTGAATCCAGTTCTACCTGATCCTAACGCCTCTTCTCTTACTCAGGACTCTTGTCCTGCCTAGCTTGGAGGAGATTCCACGTTGATATCTCCCTTTGGCCTTTGAGACCTTCAAGGAAGAGCAAGGATGGTCTCTTCTCAAAACCTAGCAGTAGGAAAGGTGGCCGGGGTGGGGTTGGGAGCCGGCTGTGGGATCTCAGAGTTGAGACCTCCCCACTGCACTCAGAGAGAGGAGTTCCAGACACCCCACCCACCTCAGTGTGGAGCCAATAGATGGAAAGAACGATGGAAATGACTGATGGCTGTGACAGTCTGCAATTTCTCCTCTCCAGGTTCCCTCACCTGCTCACACTGTACTCTCCATTGGCTCTGGGAACAGTGCGCATGAATAAAATATTGTCTCCATGCCAAGGCCTCATTCACTAGCAGCCTCTTCCAGGGGAAGAGTAAAGTCTAGCTCAGGGCAAATGACATATTTAAAGGTGAACTCACCTGGAGAATAAATCTTGGTTCCAGACGACTGGGCACAGTTTTGACATGGCGTGTGAGTGCTCCTCATTACCTAGTGATCTGCTTGGAGAGCAGAGGACCTAAATTAAATCTGCATTTCTGCAGGAGTCTTGTTTTTAATGAGCCTTATGGAAGTAAGTCCTTAGCAAGCACTCTGCCCAAGCATTGGCGTTCTGAATTTTCCTCTCTGCCTTGGTCTGTCCTGTGTCTGTACTCCCAGAGGGCATGCTCGCTTGATGGGCATCCTGCAACCCCAGATCAAGAATGCAGAAGCACACAGAGCAAGGGCATCTGTACTTACTGAATCCCCTACTGGGGCCAGGCTTTGTCCCAGGCTGTGTACTGGTAGATATAATTTCATTTAATTCTCACAAGTCAATGTTAACAGTCTGCATTTTATAGGAGAAATGAAAAGTGTCACCTGGAGGGGAAGGAGCTGGGATTTCAACTCTTTGACCCCTTTCCACTGCTGTACCTCCAAGGAGAGCACAGGGGCACCTGAGGGGGTGGGGATATAAGTGAAGCCATCAGTGGTGAGGTGAGATTTGAGCTGGACTTTGAAGGAGGCTGAAAGTCTTCCAAATTTGGGGATGAGCAGCAGATATAGTGGCAAATGGCTTGTGCTAAGGCAGAGAAGCAGAGGTGGGAAAGTACCCAGAACTTCAAGGAAAACGTCATCACTGAACATGTTTGATTTTATGCCCCTAGCTTTGCTCATAAGCTAGGATGGGAGAATGGATTATTTTAGAAACACTTCTGATTTCTCTGGAAAAGTTTGCTTGAAGGTGTCCATACTTAATGCTTGCTATGTAGGGGGCCATGCAATGTTTTATTGCAAACATTTAGTCCAGAGAAATATTTCTCCCTCTAGGAAAACCTGTAAATTTTTAATCTTTTCAGAAGATGAGATCTGCATAGCCTCCTACAGTTTTCCTTTTGCTTGAATTCCAAGATGCTGCTGAGATGTTGATAATAAAATTACAAGCCTTTTTTGTGGGGCAGCTGCCTAGTATAGGAATTGGTTGGGATCTAAACCAGGCTCTAATGTCAAGCTACCTAGTTTGAAACCCCAGCTGTGCCATATCCTGGCAATTTTTGGCGAGTTATTTATCTTCCTTGTGTCTCAGTTTTCTCATCTGTAAAATGATATAATAATAGCACTTATATCATACAGTTTGTGGGAGGATTAAATTAGCAAATGCATGTAACAGTTTAAAATGTAAAATCACAACCCTGTTCAACTTTGCCTATCCTTCTTTCCTTTTTTTTTTATTGTTTTCTTTAAGCACTTACCACTAAATTTTATTTATTTTGCTTACTATTTGTCTCTTCCCATTAGATGGTAACTCATATGAGGACAGGGATTTTTGTCTTTTTTTATTTTTATTTTTTGCTGCTTCATCCTCAGAGCCTAGGATGATGCCTGACATACCATAATGTGTTTGATAAGTATTAAATGAATGAATGATTCTAAAGTGTTTAGCAATGCCTGCCACTCAGCAAGTGCTTAGTAAATGTTACTTTATATCTGTCTTTAAATAACACCCTATATTCAGTCCATCAGTAGATCATGTCATTTCTACATTAAAAATATTTTCTAAATTTAACTGCTTCCCCCTGGCTCTCCTGCCAGCATCCCAGTCAAAGTTTCCCTCACCTCTCACCTGGACAGCTGCAGGAGGGACCTAACTAGATTCCTTGACTAGACTCTTGACACCCTATAGTCAGCACTCTCTAACATCGCTCTGTAGCTTCAATGATCTTCTTCAGATGTAAGTCAGGTCATGACATTCTCCTGCTCAAAAATCCTCCAGTATTTCTCTATCATACTTGGAATAAAACCCAAGGCTTATTACACCTAAAAGTCTCTCATACTTGGTGTTGTCTCTGATCCTCATCTCCTGCCCCTTTGCCCTCACTCCTTTTGGCTATTGCTCAAGTTCTCTTAGGGCCTTTGTGTTTACTATCTTGCTGGAATGTTCTTCTTTCACATGGCTCACTCTTGCACTTATGCAGGAGTCAGCTTAAACGTCACCTTCCTGGCCGGTTGTGGTGGCTCACGCCTGTAATCCCAGCACTTTGGGAGGCCGAGGCGGGCGGATCACGAGGTCAGGAGATCGAGACCATCCTGGCTAACATGATGAAACCCCTTCTCTACTAAAAATACAAAAAATTAGCTGGGTGTGGTGGTGGGCGCCTGTAGTCCCAGCTACTCGGGAGGCTGAGGCAGGAGGATGGCGTGAACCTGGGAGGCGGAGCTTGCAGTGAGCCGAGATCATGCCACTGCACTCCAGCCTGGGAGACAGAGCAAGACTCTGTCTTAAAAAAAAAAAAAAAAAGTCACCTTCCCAGAGAAGCCTTCTCTGACCACTGATCTACAGGGGTCCCACTTACTCCCAGTGCTGATTCTCAGACCCCTGTCCTGAACATTCAGCACAGATTTTTTTTAGAAGCTATCTGTCTCATCTATAAGAATATAAGCTCCATAAGCGCAGGGACTTTGGTTAGAAGAGTGCAGTCTGGCGTAGTGGATGTTGCTCCTCCCCCTAGAGTGCTGAAGGATGTGGGCTGAAGGCCACAGTGAGGACCCTCACACTGTTTTTTTCTGTACCTGGCTAGGTCCTGCAGATCTGCCCCAAGGACATGAGAGCCGACATCTGCGTGCACCTGAACCGCAAGGTGTTCAAGGAGCACCCGGCCTTCCGGCTGGCCAGTGATGGCTGCCTCCGGGCACTGGCCATGGAGTTCCAGACGGTGCACTGTGCCCCAGGGGACCTCATCTACCATGCAGGAGAGAGCGTTGACAGCCTCTGCTTTGTGGTTTCTGGCTCCCTGGAGGTGATCCAAGATGATGAGGTGGTGGCCATTCTAGGTAGGTGTTGGCTTTGCTGGATGGGCAAAGGTATCTGGGGTTGGCTTAGCTTCTGGGCAGCTCAATGCCACTGCCACCTTCAGTTAGAGATTGCTTCATAGGGCAGGGCCAATTGCTAATATTCACTTATCTATCCAACAATCAAACGGCGAGAGCCTGTTTGGCACAAAGCCAGTCACTGTTTGATATCTGGAGTATTTCAATAAGAAAAATGGGTTTTATCCTCAAGGGGCTCCCAGTCTAGTGTAGGAGATGAACAAATAAGCAGACATTTGCAGTACAGTGGGAGGCACATCTAACCCAGTATTCAAGTGGGAAGGCTTCCTGTACCTATGCTAAAACTTAAAAATTGAGAATGAGTTAGCATGGAGAAGAGAAGGGATGAAGTATCCTAAAAAGAGGGGATAGCATGTGTCAAATCCTTTCAGAGGGAGAAACTCATGACTCATTTGGGGAACTACAAATTATTTAGTGTGGCTGGAACACAAGAGGGGACATGGTAAGATATCAGACTAGGGAGGGAGTGAAGCACTAGGCAGATCGTGGCAGGCTCTGGAAGCCACATTAGGTGACTGGGATTTTATTTGGGGGATCCAATGAAGAGCTGAAAGCAGGGGAGAGGCATGATGAGATTTGTACTTTAGAAAGATGACAGTAGTTGCAGCTTGGGGAGTGGATTGAGTAGGGAAGGCTGGGGTAAGGAGACCAGGTGGAAGGCATGTTATCTAGAGGTAAGTTGATGGTGGCCTGAACTAATACTGTGGCAAGCAGATGGAGAGAAGCAGATGGAGTTGAGATAGTCAAGAAGTAGAATCACTGCAACCCAATGACAGATTTGCTGTGGCGGGGAAGGAGGAGTCAGCGAGGACTATAGGTTTTCTCACATGGATAACAGGGAAGCTGGTACACCATCCACAGTAATAGAGAATGTGGGAGGAGGAGCAGGGATGCGGGGGAACGTGTTGGTAACTGGGACATTGAGCATCAGTAGCTTTTAGGAAATGTGTCTAGTTTTCTCAGCTAGCTAGACAACAGCTCTTTATTGGTGGTATATCTTTAAAGGGGCAAGCCATCGTCATAATAATAGCTATCATTTATGGTCATCTACTCTGTGCCATTTGACACAGCATTTGACACACAGATACTCATTTTAAACTTACAGTAACCCTATGAAATGGTTTTATTATCCCCATTTTGTAGATGAGAGAATTAAAGTTCAAAGAGATTAAGGAAATTTCCTCATGGCTGATGAGGTCCATGGAATCAGCATTCCAGAGTCCCTCTGACTCCAAAACCTCTGCTTCAATCCATTTTGTAATACTGCAATTCTGATGATAATTTTTTTTTTTTTTTGAGACGGAATCTTGCTCTGTTGCCCAGGCTGGAGTGCAGTGGCATGCTCTCGGCTCACTGCAAGCTCTGCCTTCCAGGTTCACGCCATTCTCCTGCCTCAGCCTCCCGAGTAGCTGGGACTACATGCACCCACCACCATGCCCAGCTAATTTGTGTGTGTGTGTGTGTGTGTGTGTGTGTGTGTGTGTGTGTTTTTAGTAGAGATGGGGTTTCACCATGTTAGCCAGGATGGTCTCAATCTCCTGACCTCGTGATCTGCCCGCCTTGGCCTCTCAAAGTGCTGGGATTACAGGCATGAGCCACCACACCCAGCCTCTGATGATAATTAACGTAGTATGCTAGCCCATTAAGTTGCCAGGTACTGGTAGAGATTGCAGACATGTGTTTTATCTTTTACAAATGATTTATTAGAAAACTGAGGCTGGAGGAGATTAAGTTACTCTGAAGTTAGAATTGAGATTCAAACTACATAGAGACATAGATAGTATTATTTTAAAAAAGAAAGAAAGAAAGAAAAAGAAAAGCCCCAACTTTATTCCTGCTTGACTTTGGAGCACACAATATGTAGCTTCCTTCTTGTTTTTTGGTCCTAAGCCAACTGACTCTCTTGATTACATTTGGCTTAGGTTAACCCAAGGATGATTTATATTCCTTCAGCATACACTGGCAGATGGTCAAAGGGAGAGTGGGATAGAAACTGGGCGGGGTGGTCGGGTGCAGTGGCTCATACCTGTAATCCCAGCACTTCAGGTGGCTGAGACGGGTGGATCTCTTGGGTCCACGAATTTGAGACCAACCTGGGCAACATGGCAAAACCCTGTGTCCACAAAAAATACAAAAATTAGATGGGCATGGTGGTATATGCTTGTGGTCCCAGCTACTCAGGAGACTTAGGTGGGAGGATCAGAAGCGGAGGTTGCAGTGAGACGTGATCACATCACTGCACTCTAGCCTGAGGCCTGAGTGACAGAAGGAGACCCTGTCTCACAAAACAAACAAACAAACAACAACAACAACAACAACAACAAAAACAAGCAAAAAGAAATTGGGTGGGGAATGGAGGCTGAAACTGTTTGCCAAAATAAGTGTTCTAGATTCCATGGTATCCACTGAACCCTGCAGACCAGAGTTACTCTGTTCCTTGCCCCCTTATCACAGAGAAGTGAGATTCAACTGTGTATAAATAGGACTCATGAAGGCAAAAACCATTGCTTTAGTATATCTGATATGAAAGAGCATTTTTCACTACCTTTAATACTCATCAGTTTCCTTGATAAGGAGGAAATTCTACTGGTGGTCATAGCCACGTTTTTATGTTTGCCTGGCTGAGATGAGCACCTATTAACTAGTGAACAATCCTTTAAATTTGGATTTGACTTAACCCTTTGATAAGGGCATTTTTCACTCATCTTCTCACTCATAACTTACCATATGCCTTTCCATGCTCAGGGCATCCCTTCATGACTCACCACACACAGCTGCATTACTAGGAGTTGGTTTGAACACCTAGACTTAGGCATAGAGGCATGATGGAGCTGAAGAGGGGTGGGGAAGACAAACAGCTTCCTAGCCCCTTCTCATTTCCTTTCATCCTGGGCTTCTTGTGAGGAAGAAACCAGGGCTTGATTTATTGTTGAATTACTTGACCTTGTTGACTGCGTCTCTAAATCTAGAGGGCCTCTACTTGGGGCCCTCCCAGGCATTCTGCCTGCTCTAGTTAGCAATGTGGACAGGATCTCTCAAATAGCTCAGCAGCTTTGGATTCAAAGTGGTTGTTGCCTTCAAGCTGTCTACACTAGAAAAAGCTTCTCCACTTTGTCTCTAGGAGCCAGATTGAGTCTGTAAAGTAGGTCCAAGCTCAATATTCTAAATAACTTATCAGATTTCATGGGGCTCTTATTCTCTAAAAGGTCGAGACACGTCCTTTGAATCAACCTGAGCTCTGGACAAAGAGGCATAAGTGATTCTAAGCTGTTTGCTCCCTGGAAACTTAAATTCAGAGTTTTGTTCTTGTTGTTTTTCTATAATTAGCATATCTTTTGGTCAATGGACTGAAATCAGTTTGTTCTTGCAAGGGGGTTCAAGCATCAAATGGGTATTATAACTATATTGTCTGTTGATGCCCTTCAGTACAATCCAACCAAAATGCATTGAACACCTGCTATCTGCCAGGCACTGTCATAGGGGTGGGGATATAGCAGTGGACCAAACATTAGTCCAGCCTCCTGTAAGTGGAGGGGGCTGACAGTGGAAAGACAGCCATCACTCTGCATGATTCGCATTGCCATAGAAAGAATGCAGGTATTCTAGAGGATCATTGGATGAGCAATTATTGAGCAGCTACTGTATATCCATTGCTTTAAAGAGGACAGAAAATATGCAAGTAATCCTTAGTTATCACAAGCAAGAGCCTTTAGAAAAAAACGCCAGAGCTCATTCATCTCATTGTCTTGCTCTTTGTTCTCTTATTATCAGTTCACTCATTTACATTCTGCTAATTGGCCTCTTTCTTCCAGTTCTAATATTCCACTCACATTCTCTGTTTAATTTTAGCACAGATGCCAAGAACGAAGAAAAGGGTCAGTACTCATAACTGAGTGTGTTTAGTTTGTGTTAAAAATAAAGCCCTTCTAAGGAAAGTATTTTAAAGAAGAGTGTTTTTCAAACTTTTGTGACTGGAACCTGCCATATGAAATGTATATTACATTGCAAATGAATACATATACAAGTGCACACACAGTTATACACAGAATTTGATACTTCTCTTGCTATGTGAGTTGCAACCTGGTATTTTCTATTAGATAATGTTCTCTTTCATTAAAAAAATGACCATCATGACCCACTAAATTGTTTTCCTGACCTGATCACAGTCTGCAGTTTGAAACGTGGTCCCAGAAACCTAGATGATGTTCTCTGAGGACAGAGAACATATCAGAAATCTCTTATGATCTTTCCCTTTGCTGTTCTCTCTGCCTTAATTTTGCATGAAATCCTTCTTATATCCTTTTGGAATTCTCTTAGAAATCACTTAATGGCTTCTCAAATCTAGTTTCTTGGCTTCTTGAAATAAATTCGAGATTTTCACATGTGCATTTTATTCATTAGATTTTAAAAAGTAATTTTCTTTTAATTTTTTATAGAAATCAGTATTAAAAGGTAGAGATACCATTTTTCCCCTATCCAAGTAGTACTAGTAGCATCTGCATATAAGTAGTTATCTTGGTATTCTGTGTTACTGTGTGACTCACCAACATAGATGAGTCATGGACTAGCATCAGGGCTGTGCATAAGTGTGTTAAGTATCTCCCTGCATTTCTATCTTATAAGTACGATATTTATATGATCTCCTTTCACTGTGATTTAGTGTCCCCTTAGTAATGTTTATGGGTTTTGCATTTTAATACTCAATTTATGTTTTCTTTATGGATCATCTTGTGTTTTCCTGTTTTGTGGATTTTTTTTTTTTTAATTTTCTTGGGGCAAACAAGTATTTTGGCCAGGCTGCATCAAGCAGTGAAGAGTCCTGAAGCTAGAGATTTAACTCTAGTCCTGGTTCTACTCTTAACTCCTTACTGGAGTTGCCACTAGCTGGTTAAGAGTCTTCAAAGGCCTCCTCTGTTTCTATTAAGCCTATCACACTGCATCAATTGCATGTTTACTTCCCACTCTCCTGTGAGCCCCAGACTCTTTGATTTCTTATCTCCAGCACCTAGCACATGGAAAGAAAGCACCAGAGGCTATTTTCTGAATGGAATGCAATTGAAAGGAAGGCAGAGGTTAGGCTTTGAAGAGCCTCACAGTCCGGAGTAAGACTATCTTGTGGGGATAAGGACCCAGAGAGAGTTTTAGAAAGGGGGTTGACAGGAAGATTTGGGTTCCACAAATACAGAGGCATGGAGACTAGCAGAGAGGCTCAGGAAAAATGGTGAGCCCCTGAATAAAGAAGTAGAAGGAGAGCCAGAGTCCAGAGATATCAGGGGAGGGAGAACCTCTGGGAAGTAGGAGGTAAGGAGAGGGAATAGTTTCTGAAAGTGACTGGAGAAGTCAACAGGGCCAGAGGAGGAGGAAGTGGAGGAGGAAAGAAGATGGGAAGAGCCATGGGGAAGATTGATGAGCAGGCCCCAGTTCCCATGGCATGGATCTTACTTGCAGTCCTGTCACTACTGAGTTAGGACTTATACGTACATAAAGGCATAAATGCTTGTTCATGGATGAAATATTCTTTATTTTATTTATTTATTTTTTTTAGAAGGACACCTCCTTGTCACAGTTCCTAATTTGGAAGGTACTCTCATTTTTGCTTAGTTAGCTTCCTTGTGTTCATTGACCTTATTTGGATATTACTGCGGCATCTATTTATTTAGCAATCACCAGAGCATAACATGGTCTTAATCTCTTTGGGGGTATAAAGAAAATCCTTGTCTTGGAGGAATGTTCTGTTACATGTGGTGAGACAAATGCATGGCTAGTGACAATAAGTAACGTGGGTACCTTTTTCTATAGACTTCTTGGAGTGAGCAGGGAAATGTTCATGGAGGAGGTAGAAGTTGAACTGGGCTTGGAAGGACAAGTAGGAGTTTCGTAGTCTGAGTCTGAAAGTGGAAAGTATAGCACGGGCCTCCAGAGGTATTAGAGAATACATGGAAATGCATGTGGCATGTTCAGGGACCAGCATGAGTAAAGTAGACTGAGCAACCTTTCCATGAGGCCAGTGGTTCTCAACTATAGTGGACACAAAACTCAGCTGGGAAACTTGTGCATCATGCCAAGCCCCAGTTGTTCCCCACAGGTTCTGAATCTATAGCCCTAGCCCCAGAGGTGATTCCACGCATGTGGTTGGAGGACTGCACTTTGAGAAACATTGCTTTAGGCAGTCACCGCTTGATGTTTTTTGTGGAATGGGGTGAGATGATGAACGTGAGGAAGCAACTAAGGCAGGGATGCACTGAGTGGGAGACCTTTTATTACATTAACCTAAACCACAAGAAATGACCAATTCTTCACTTTTTTGACATACCACATGGTAGGGTCAACTTCCCAGTGATCTGTATAAGAGGCCTAGAGTAGTAGCTCTGTGAGAATGGAGTCAAGGTTTGGACAGTTGAGGTAGGGCATTCTAAATGGAAAAGATGATGTGAGCTGAGGCCTAGGGAAGGAAAGTGTCAGGGGTGTTTCATAACCACAAGACAGCTACTTGAGCTGTAGCTGAGAGCCCTGCGGGGCAGCAGTGGGATATGGGGCTTGGGAAGCGTATCAGGGCTAGTCTATGGATGAGTTTAAAGGTCAGCATGAGGAACTCAGCAGTGGAAACCACTGAAGGTGGTGAGTAAAGCATGGCACTATTACAGATGTGATTTGTAAAGATTAATGGATTGAACGGAGAGACCAGGAGGCTGGTAGGTAACTATGGCTTACAGTAGAAGTAAGGAGTGTTAAGATGCAGGCAGTAAAAATGGAGACAGGAGTAGGGCTGCCAAATACAACACCACATGCCCAGTTTAATTTGAATGTCACGTAAACAATACATAGTTTCTAGTATAAATTTTACCCAAATGTTTCATGGGATATGCTCATGAGTGAAATTATTCATTTATCTGAAATTCTATTTTAACTGGGTATCTTGTATTTTTATTTGCTAAATCTGCCAACTGTAGTTGGGAGGGAAAGGTGGATAAAGCATCATGAAGCAGAGTCTGTAAGGTTGTAAGCAGGATGTGGGGAGCAAAGACAGGAAAGCAAGAGAGGCGATTCTGATGAGTGGGGAAATGGAGGCATCAGTGGTAGAAGATCAAGTCAGGAGGAAGTGGTGGTGAGAGAGATAACGGTGAGCTTCATTTTGACTTGTTACATTGTTGCATTTAATGGCCAATAGGGTATCCAAGTGGAGAGTCCAGCAGGGACTTGGACCCTGTGGGTCTGGAATCAGGAAAAGAAACCAGGGCTCAAGACAGGAATTTAGGATTTAGAGGAAGAAATATGAAATGTATATTTTAAAAAGACACAGATAGAACATAGGAATAGTTTTCTAAATGACCAAGTATTTCAGAGCATTTGAAAAGAATTGGGAAAGCCAGGTGTGGTGGCTTCTGCCCATGGCCCCAGCTACTCAGGAGGCTGAGGCCTCAGAAGGCTGAGGATCACTTGAGCCTAGGACTTTGAGGCTGTAGTGCACCGTGATCACACCTGTGAATAGCTACTGCACTCCAGCCTAGGCATCATAGCAAGACCCTGTCTCTAAAAAGAGAAAGAAATGGGAGTATAGCCATTCACAATACTCACAAGAAATTTTAAACGATACTAGAAATTCTTATGATAAGCAAAGTAAGTAAAATACAATTTTTAAAATGCAATATGATCTCAGTTATGTGAGGGAAAAACATTGATTCATAGATAAAAGCCCATAAGTGTTTTCACTAACATGTTATAGTGCATGTCTTGTTTGTGAGGCTTTAGGATATTTTAATTTTTTTAAATATTTGTCTTTCAAGTTGTCTTTAAGAGTATATGCTACTTTCCAAATGTGGAAAAAAATGTTGTTTTAATTTTCAAAGGGGTATTGAGAGAGTCAACATTATTTCAAATTTCACATTTGTTGGTTATTAGGATATAATTTAGAAGAATGATATTATTTTTCATATAGATGTCTTGACAGCATTATTTTTGTTATTTACCAATTCGATCAGAAAAAAAGTGGCATTTACTTTTGCATCTAGTACCCAACCCCTCCCTCTAAGCATTCTTGGAAAGGAGGATGGCCAGGCAATGAAGACAGAATGGCTTATCTGACAAAGATCTAAAGCAACAACAAAAACAACAATAACTTTCTATAAACCCTCATTATTTTAGAGGTTTGGAGAAGCTAAATCCTTCACAGAGATGCTTCCCAAGATTCTTGTAAGCTGAGTATGGAGAGGAGGGGGTACCCCACTGCACTGCCATCACTGTGGTGCATTGCTCCTCATTGCTCCAGGGACTTGAAGTTGCTAGGTAAATATTGCTGCCACTTGCCATATAATAATGTTGTTTGCTCATGCTTAGCACAGAGGGAGAAGGCTATGTGTCAGTGTCACCCTAAACACTCCAACCAAGCATTAATACTCATACAGCTGTTCCATCTGAAGCAATTAAACTAAGTCCGCACTTTTAGAAAGAAGCTATAGGCCGGGCGCGGTGGCTCACGCCTGTAATCCCAGCACTTTGGGAGGCCGAGGCGGGCGGATCACGAGGTCAGGAGATCGAGACCATCCCGGCTAAAACGGTGAAACCCCGTCTCTACTAAAAATACAAAAAATTAGCCGGGCGTAGTGGCGGGCGCCTGTAGTCCCAGCTACTTGGGAGGCTGAGGCAGGAGAATGGCGTGAACCCGGGAGGCGGAGCTTGCAGTGAGCCGAGATCCCGCCACTGCACTCCAGCCTGGGCGACAGAGCGAGACTCCGTCTCAAAAAAAAAAAAAAAAAAAAAAAAAAAAAGAAAGAAGCTATAATATGAATAATCTAGAATTTCAGAAATGCAAAACCACTTGTATCAGGTAGTGCACACATTACCTGATTGAGAGAGGGTGGAGGCGGAGACCAGTTCTCTTTCCTAATTCTGTGTTTGCTTAAGTAATTTTAAAAATTGGTTTACAGTCCCCGAAGACACTGGCAGCTAGGAAAGTTTATTGATCTTTCTAAAGGAAATTTTCATAACTTTATAGTGTCTAGACAGAGGGATTGGTTGAATCATAAATTGTGGTAAATTAAGGCAGTTGTTATGATAATGATATGAAGAAGTTTTACTGGCATGCAAAATGTTTCAAATATAACTTTAAGTGGGATAAAAGCAGAATATATAGCTATATATAGAGTAACCTTAACTAGATCAAAATGCATATATGAGTAAAAGAAAGATGGAAAGTATACCAAAATGTTAACTGAAGTTTTCTGGACAGTAGACTTATTTGTAATTTTTATTGTCCATTTTTCAACATATTTCAGTTATTTTCTCTAACGCACTTATATTCTTTTATAAATAATCAGAAGGGGGAAAAAACAATGTTCTCATCCATAGCAATCTTGGAAAATTATCACCTGCTTTCAGTGGAAGATTTGTGTTCTGTTTGCTTGGTGGAGAGATTTGGCTAATTTAATTTTATCTAATTGCAGTAATGAAGAACAGAAGGAGAATTGTCATGAAGTTTCCAAACCATTGCTTTAACTTAACCATTTATGGCTGAGTCCCCATTCAGACAGAGATGCCAGCCTTGATTTCTCATGATCAGCATAGTCCCCACAAGGAAGGCTGTTGACCCATATTTGGGTGAAGTTTTAATACTTTTAGGGACAGATTTATGTCACAGAGTAATTTCTAACATGCATTATCTTTAATTCTTTTTAAATTAGTCTGTAAATTTTCAGCTTATCATTAAACTGAATTATAGTGAATTACAGGAGTGTTTCTGAGCAGGTCAGCAAATTCCTTCTTCTTGAGTGAGGCCGACATTGTAGCTGCCTAAGGATACCCAGGTTCTTGCACTTGGACTGGGGACCTATCTTCTCCTCAAAGTCATCCAGCCTAAGACATTCTAAGTCTTTCATATCCTGGACTAACTTAACATTGTTCTGTTCAAACGCATGCTTTCATTGATGTGAAACGCATCAGGTACAGTGCTAGAGGTTGGAAATACAAACAGTGGGCCAAACAGATACACCTCTCATAAAGCCAACCTTCTCAGCCAGGAAACAGCCAAGTAAATATGCATTTTATAACATAGAGCCAAGAGCTGTAATAGGACTAAGAACAGGATGCTGTGGGAGCTTATATGACAGGCATCTAATCCAGCGGCTATGAGAAGTCAAGGATGGCTTCCTGAGAGAGCTGATGTCTGAGCTGAATTCCACCAGGGACAGCAGTGGCTGTGGGGGGTTGCAAAGGGAGATTAGAGAGTAAGTGTTCCAGGAATAGGGAGAAGCATCTGCAAAGGTTTTGGAGACACATCTGGGAAAAAAAAAAAAAGTAGTTCCAAATACCTGGAGCATAGCATTCTCAAGAGGGTAGAACAGGTGAGCAAGGCCTTGAGACTTGTTAGGGAATTTGGACTGAGGGTAATGGAGAGCCAGTGAGGATTTTAAAGCAGAAGAATGACAGAAACTCATCTGTGTTTAGAAAAATCATCCTGGCAGCTGTGTGGAGAATGGAGTAGAAAAAGCCAAGATAAAAGGCAGGGAGCATGCTGAGAGATGACAGTAGCCTAACCTGACTTAAATGGCTGTGGAAATGAAGAAAAATAGATCCAAGAGGTATTTTATGTATGAAATTTTCAGAGCTTGGCCATCTATTTTGGATATGAAGATGAGCAGGAGAAAAAAGCCTGGAATGACTTGGATGACTTCACTGGGATGGGCAACACTGGATGATGGGCAGGTTTCCCAGGAAGGAGGACCAGTTCCATTTTTAGATCTGTGGGTTTGAGCTGAGTGAAAGTAGCCAGTGGGAGATTCTGGACTCAGAAGAAAGATCAAGGCTTGAGGTGAAAATCTAGGGAACATCATGGTCTAGGTGGCAATTGAAGCCAGGGGAGAGGCTGAGAACACCCAGGGAGACGAGGGAGAGAAAGAAGCAACAAAGTCTAGAACACAGCCCCAAGGAATACCAATTTATAGGAGCCCGAGATGGATTTCCAGAAAAGGAGGAGAGACCAGGAGAGAGGGATATAACAGAAGTCAAGGTGTGTGGTGGGGGAGGGGTCGTAAGGGAGTATGACAAATGGTCATTTTCAAGTGTTACAGAACTATAGTTCACGAAATAGACAATGTCATGGATTGTAAAACACATTAATATTTTATGGCCCATTAAGAATCAGTGCTGCCAGGTAAACTGGCACATTTTGATTTCAGAGATAAAAATGCTAAACACCGTACGTGTGTGCTAGAATCAAAGAGGTATGATTCATTGAGAACTACAAAGTGTCCTTTAGATTTATCAGCAAAGGAGTTATTGACTATGGTGAGAGTAGCATTAGTGGAGTATGGGGGTGAGGAGCAAGATTAAAGTAGCCTGAGAAATGAAGAGGGATGGGTATTGGGTTCAGGGGTGCTTAATAAATTGCATAGATTCCCCCAAGAGTTCTGAACCAAGAGAGAAAATAAGTATGACGGGTACAGGTCAAGGCATCACCTTTTATTTTCCAGATAAACCTAATATTAGAGAATGTGCTTTATATTTGCATCCAAGAAGTCTTCTTAATATTGAGACCCAGAATTAGACCCACCTTGTGATGATGACCAGCACAACCCTCTTCCTATGCGGGTCTGCTCCATAAATCTTATGGCAGAGGAGGACAGAAAGAACATCCTTCCTACAGGCAGTTCATTCCCGAGGAGAGAGCAAAGGGCTGGTCTACACATGAGTTTGTTCTCCCTGCAAACCTATCAGTCAGGTGAAGATTCAGAACATGATGCAGCTGAAACCACCTTACCATGGAGAGACATATCAGGAATGGGGACAAAGTAGTTTTCCTTAAGAGTAGGAATGCAAGCTGAGGCAGGCAGATCACAAGATCAGGAGTTTGAGACCAGCTTGGTCAACACAGTGAAACACCCCGTCTCTACTAAATATACAAAAATTACCCAGATGTGGTGGTAGGTGCCTGTAATCCCAGCTACTGGGTAGGAGAACCGCTTGAACCCAGGAGGCGGAGGTTGCGGTGAGCCAAGATTGCACCACTGCACTCCAGCCTGGGTGACAGAGCTAGACTCTATCTCAAAAAAAAAAAAAAACAGAGTAAGAGAGCAGAGATAATGTAAATAAGACTACCAAGAAGTTTAGTTGATAAAGGAAAGTGAACCCAGCTCAACCAGGTGTCTTCCTTCCCAACCATCCAACTTTTTTTCCTGCTTTTTGGAAAAATTGTCTATTTATTTCATGTATATCTTAATTATCTCACCTCACCATATAAAGGCCAGCTCCATTCTCATCTTCTCTATGAAATCTCAATAGTCCTGCCTAGCCTTGCCTCTCCCATATCTTGGTATTTGTTACTGTTGTTTTATACTTCACTGTTACACACATATGGACATTTTGTCTCCTTATATTGTAAGCATCATCTCTGTATCATCTCTTTGAAGATAGAGATGATCTCTTAGCCTTCTGTTTTATCCCCCTGAATCACTGGAATTCTGCCTGATCCATGATAGGTAAGGCCAGGTTGTTGAACTGGGCTGAACTGCGTGGAGAGAGATGGTAACACAAAACCCCACCTTTGGAAACTTTCAGTCTACTCACTGCTTGGGAGAGAAAGTCAAGTGCACTTCCCATGGAACCTGGCATATAATCTTACAGGTTCTTGGGTGTGTTTCATTGACCAGATTTGTGGCTGACATACTCCAGTGTCCCATCTCTAATATAGAGATGGTATGCAGAAGAGCATAACCATTGCACTCCTTTGTACCAACATCAAAAAACAAAAACAGAAACAAATGTTTCTTGAATATCTCTGAGATCTCCCACAAAACCTAGAATGAGACAAAACTTTTCTAGGCATAGATGCCCTTTAGAGAAGTAGAGTGAAATACAGGCCTGTCCCTGCAGCCAAGGCCCCCTCAGCACCTCCATTGCTTCCTTTCTTTGTTGGCATAAGAAATCCAAAAAAACATGTCGGTTAAGCACTTGACACCCCAACACAATCAGATAAGACCTTAGAGCTAAGGCTTTATTCCTGCTAGTGTATTTTCACTACTTACATGCGAAAACAAGTTGATGAGATTTCCACTGTGTCTGTCTGTCTTTGATGTATGTTCTAACATCTGTAAACTGTAGCAGATAAAATAAGGTCACATACTGCCAGCAGCATTTATTTTTTGCAGTAAGGATAAAAAGCAGAGCTTTGTACCTTTACTACAGATAAGAGATGGCAACATTTATAAGATGTCAAAACTTTGTTTACCTACTCTTCTCCCATGTGAGAGAGTTATTAAGTGTTCAAAATCAACTTGAAAGGCTGGACTTCAGCACCATTGGGGTGAGGCACAGAATGGGTGCTGGGCACCTGAACCTGGCACGCTCTGAGTCCTCACTAATTCTTGCTTTCTGGTCCACAGTCAGGGCTGGGCTGGAAAGTGAGTGATATTACAAAGGTTTCAGTTCAAGTTGCTGGAGGTTTTGCTCTGAATGTGCTGCCAGAGTCTTCATCATCATTTTACTCTTCAGTCCATTAGACACATGGAAGCTCATGCTTTTTCTTAGAGCAGGTGAAAAAAGCACCTTTGTATATACCTCTATCACAGAGGTCAACATATTGTACTGACCCGCTGGACCATGGACTCCTGAATTGGCTAGGTTGCAGGTTCAGCTGCTCCAACAAAAACCCAAAAGAAAGGAAGCTTAGACAAGATGGAAGCTTATTCTCCTCTTACCTAGCAGTCCAGGTGTAAGAGGGCTGGTGTGGCAACCTTGTGGTCTTAGGCACCCAGCCTCCTCCTAGTGTGATACGTCACCCTAAATAGGTTGTTGCCCTTGGCCTCCTGGTCCAAGTTAGCTTACATCCTTATTCCTGCCAGGAGGAAGGGGAGAAGGTATAGGGAAAGGCAAACATGGTCTTTCTCTTTAAGGAAATGATCTGAAATTGCACACATCCCTTCTACACACCTCCCCTTAGTCAGAACTTGAACAGATGGCCACACTTACCTGCAATTTAGTCTTTATTCTGGTTGTCATTATGCCTAGCTAAAAGTCATGGGTTCATTACCATAAGAGGAAAGAATTGATTTGGGGGAAACAGCTGGAAACCTACCTAAGCCATCACTCGGTAAGGTCAAAATCTTGTCTCCAGTTTATCCTTCTTTCCATCACCTAGCATTATGCCCACCCAAGGCAGGTGTCATTGAATGTTGATTGAAGAGGAGGGCTGCTTGAGGGAGGGAATGCAGAGGATGACATCCTGGGAACCTTGCGTTTCCTTTGCCAGCATGGAGACCACGAGGCAGTCACAGGCAATCATTTAACCTCTTCAGAACTCACTTTTCTCTCTTTCAAATGAGGCTGAGAATCCCTGTGGAATTTGCTTCACAGTGCTGTTGGGAAGATTCTTCTTTTATGGTGGCTACTATTTATTGAACCCCTACTATGTTCTAAGCATGGTGCTAAGTTATCTGTTGACATTCATTCATGTAAACTTCACAGCAGCCCAATGAGATGGTGTCTTAGTCTATTCCAGCTGCCATAATAAAGTACCATAGACTGCGTAGCTTATAAACAACAGAAATTTATTCCTCACAGTTCTGGATGCTGGGAAGTCCAAGATCAAGGTGCCAGCAGATTTGGTGTCCTGTGAGGGTTCACTTTCTGATTCAAAGATGGTGCCTTCTTACTGTGTCCTCACATGGGGAGGAAACTCTCTTGGCTTTCTTTTATAAGGGCACTAATCTTTTTTTCTTTCTTTCTTTTTTTTTTGAGACGGAGTTTCACTGTTGTTGCCCAGGACAGAATGCAATGGCACAATCTCAGCTTACTGCAACCTCTGCCCCCTAGGTCCAAGCAATTCTCCTGCCTCAGCCTCCTGAGTAGCTGCGATTACAAGTGCTCGCCACCACACCCCGCTAATTTTTGCATTTTTAGTAGAGATGGGATTTCACCACATTGGCCAGGCTGGTCTCAAACTCCTGACCTCAAGTGCTCTGCCCACCTCGGCCTCCCAAAGTGCTGGGCTTACAGGTGTGAGCTACTGTGCCCGGCCAGGGCACTAATCTTAATCATAAAGGTTCCATCTTCATGACCCAGTTATCATCTAGAGATCTCACCTCCAAATACCACTGTATTGGGAGTTAGGGTTTTAGCATATAAATTTGAGGGGGTGGGGACACAAATATTCAGACCATAGCAGGTTGGTATGATTAGCCACATTTTATAGTTGAGTAAACTGAGGCTGGGAGAGATTTAGTAAGATGCGCAGTGCTGTTCATTTATATATACATTCAACAGCCATTGAGTGCCTGCCACGTACCGGAGACAGTGCTGGGTATGCAGCAGTTCCAATTACGATGGGTGTTTCCAGGAGGAAACAGAATGAAGAGGACATAAATAATAGGGAGCTACTCTGCTCAAGGGATCAGAGAGGAGGTTTGGGCATATTTTGAAGGATGAGCAGGAGTCATCCAGGCCAAGGAGTAGGGTGAAGTGTCTGGGGCAGTGCCTGGAAAGCCCTGATGTGAGACAGGAGCCGAATTTAAAGGGACTCCAAGACTCCCAGTGTGACTGGAGGGCAGGGAGTAGGAGGAGAAGTCCAGCAGTGGTCACCACAAGCCCTCGATGGGTTGAACCTAGGCTTGCAGCCAGCTTGTCTAGCCCCGAAACTCATACTGAAAGAATAGATGATCAAGTTCTTGGAAAACGTGTTGAGGGCAGTACTGGGGAGGAGGAGATTTGGGCATATTCTCTTTTTGTCTTAGTCATGGCTGTACGAACTGAAGAGAGGGCCTGGATTTCACATAGGTGGTATAATCCAGGTGGTCTGAGAACTGAGCCCTTGTCATTGTCCCCCTGAATGATCTAGTTCAGTGAATATGCACACATTCTGCTTAGGGCTTGCCTGGAAAGATTAATCCAGTTCCCCTTATCTGTCTTATAAGGAGTTTTTTTCTAGGGCCAGGAGAGAGGATGCCCCTTCCTCGGAGCCTCCCTCAGCTATGGCAGGACTCTGCAGCTGCATTTCATCATCCTGATGAAGTGAATGAAGAAACCCCTCTTGTCCTGAAATGGCATGAGGACAAAGGACTTCCTGATACCCTAGGGAAGAGGAATAAAGGCAGTGGGATAGGGGGAGGAGGGCAACCCTTACTGTACTTGGTGTTTCTGGCACCTCTCTCAGCCTCCCAGAGAAGCCGCCAACAGAGTAGTGGATCTAAACCTTTAAACAGCTACTCACTCAACAAGCTGATGTTTCTCACTCTCAGTGTACAGAGTGTGGAAGGTGCTGAGGTGAGTTTGCTGCCAAATGAGGAAACCAGGCACTTTCCTCCAAGGATTACAAAATATAACTCTCATTTCTACAGGTGAATGAAGGAACAGATAATTCAAAATAAGGGGTGGTTCAGAGGCTTACGTGGCTTTTCAGTTTTGTTTGTTTGTTTGTTTGAAACGGAGTCTCGCTCTGTCATCCAGGCTGGAGTGCAGTGGTGCGATCTCGGCTCACTGCAAGCTCCATCTCCCGGGTTCACGCCATTCTCCTGCCTCAGCCTCCCAAGTAGCTGGGACTACAGGCACCTGCCACCACGCCCGGCTAATTTTTTGTATTTTTAGTAGAGACGGGGTTTCACCGTGTTAGCCAGGATGGTCTCTATCTCCTGACCTCGTGATCTGCCCGCCTCGGCCTCCCAAAGTGCTGGGATTACAGGCGTGAGCCACCGCGCCCGGCCATGGCTTTTCAGTTTTGCTAAAGAGGCAGATCTTTGTGTCTCAAGGCCTTTGCTCATGCTGATCCCTCTGCCTGGAATCATCTCCATGCTTCAGCTTTATGCTGCTTAACTTGAACTCATCCTTCAGGTTGCAGCTCAGACATTAATCTTGGAAGACTTCCCTTATCCCTTGAACTTGAGCTGGATACCCCTCCTGGACTCTCCCTTGTTATAGCCCCTAACACATTATAGTCACCTGCATCTCCTTCCCCCACTGCATCTGCTGTTCCACTGTTACACCTCAGCCCCTAGAACAGTGCCTGGCAAAAGTTGCATGAATGACTGAATGAATTTTTTTTAATTGGTTTGGGTCTAGAAATAATGATCTCAACAGCAGGTAGTAAGTTTAACATTAGAATTATATTTTGTGGAGTACATTATAACACTGTGAGATAGTCCTTAAAAGAGCATATAATAGGAAATAGTGAAGAGAAGCAGCCAGAAATTTCATTTTTTTCTGATCTCCCAGACCTGCCAAGCTCACTCAGAGCCTGTCTTTGAATAAACAGCACCTTCTCTGGAGCGTTCCAGACTTAGTTGTAGGGTTCAGATCAGAATTGCTTCCCTGCCACTCTTCAACCTCAAGAAGGCTATTGATCCTTCCAGGGTCCCAGAGTTCCAGCATCTCTTGAATTCACCCTGGTAATCCCATTTCACCCTACCCACCCACCTTCAGCTTTCTCAAGTGGCTGGCTGTTCTAGCCTTTGCCCTTCATTTAACCAAATTGCCTGCAGGGGCTTAGTTTTCTTCTGTGCTGTGCCCCTCCCTGGCCCTGTGCCACCTCAGCCCTGTGTCCCACTTCCTACCTATGTTTTGTGGATGTTCTTCAGTCCTACATTGGTACCCCACAGGGATGTTTATGTCCACTGCAGAAGTGGAGGTTCAGTAAAGACAGCTCCATATAATTGGGGGGAAGAGGAGGAGGATTAATTATTACTGAGATGTTTGCCTGGAGTTTTAATTAGGCTGCCTTTCCTTACTTCCTTCTTTTTTTTTTCCCAGCTCAGAATGTCCATTTAGAATGTTAGTATTTTAGAGACTTGGAACATTAAGTTTTAACATTCTGCACCCAGAGCCTCAGTGTAATAAATAAATCAATAGGCTGATTGCCTCCAGTAGTTTGATTGCTGAGTGCATTGGGGTACCTTTTGTTCTTGAGTGAATGATTATTTTACACACTGGCAAACAAGAAACAAATGTGGGTGTAGTGCTTGTCCGGGCTTCTGATTTGCAACCCTGACCTGGGAAGTCATTATTTCCAGCATTGTGTGTAACTTACAAGCAGCTTGCCAAATGTTCTATCTCCTTCCCCTTGACAGTTCTCCCAAGTTATGTGTGTCATAAAAACATTTCGCATTTGCCAGAATAGTCCTGAGTTTGTTTTGGATCTGACAGGTCCTCTGATATTACGTTCTTAAATCTCACTAACAGATAATTTATACCAAAACTACTGCCTTGACAGGAAGTAAAGTTATATGATTTTCAATTTGGGTTGAAAATCAACTCAAGTTATGACAATACTGAGACTCTTAGACCCTACAGATTAATCATGATTATCTTACTGTGAAATACTTTTTGTAGTAGGATCTACCCTCCATTTATTTTTTCTGTCAAAACCTGTGATTGGAAAATGTTTCATAATGGGAATGTTGTCATTTCTACAGATGCACTTATTTATTTCATGGTGTATTCCGACCACAATATGGTTGCCCCTTGTTTTATGCAATAGATATGCCCCTGAAGAGTTGCTTATAAACTGAATTTTTATAGATATATGGGTAATTACATGCCCATGCAGTGCTACTATTTTACCTAATAGTTTCTTTTATAATTAGAAAAACGACTCCCAAATTCATTTGAAAAGTATAACACTCATATATTGGGTCTTGTTTAGATGAAGTAATCTTAATACAAATCAGGCAAGATTATCAACTAGCTTCTACTCTCAATAGTTCTGGCTTATACCACATTTCATCCCAATAGGAGACTGCAGGTTTTATACATTCTACATTTTCTCACAGATACTCAAGACACTTCCAGAGGAAAATCTGCCCCTCTTAGAGCCACCCCTTGCTCTCTCTTGTATCATTCTTTCAGGGAAGGAAGTGGGGGATGCCAGCTCAGAGTTGGGATGATTTGTGATGTTCTGCTGGAATATTACGTAACCTGGCAGGTAATTTTTTTTTTTTTTTTTTGAGACAGAGTCTTGCTCTGTAGCCCAGGCTGGAGTGCGGTGGCCAAATTATAGCTCACTGCAGTCTCAAACTCCTGGATTCCTGGGTTCAAGCAATCCTCCCATCTCAGCCTTCTGAGTAGTTGGAACTACAGGTGCATGCCACCATGCCCAGCTATTTTTTATTTTTTGCAGAGGCAAGGTCTCACTTTGTTGCCCAGGCTGGTCTCAAGCTCCATGATTCTGTGTATTCTGGCTATCTATTGCTGTGTAGCAAACCGCCCCTAAATTTAGTGGCTTAAGAAACTTCTTATTGTTTCTTCCATTCTGTGGGCTGTTTAGCTCAGCTGGTTGGTTCTCACTTGCACTTCCCACATGTGGTTGCAGTCAGGCATTGACTGGGGCTATAGTCATCTGAAGGCTGGACTGAGCAGGACAACTAAGATGGCTTCTTGACATGACTGGCAGTCGAGACTGTCAGCTGAGAGCTCAGCTGGGCTGTGGGCCACAGCATATACATGTGACCCCTTGTGTGGCTTGTGCTTCTCACTTGTTGATTGGGTTCCAAGAGGGAGAGTCCCAAGAATGAGTGTTCTAAGTGATCCAGGCAGAGCCTGCAAGGCTTCTTATGACCTTGACTCAAAATCCCAGAACATCGCTTCTTCCACTTTCTATTGGTTGAGGCCAGTCAGTGACTAAGGCCAGCCCAGATTCAAGGGGAGGGAATTAGACTTCACCTCTTGATGTGAGTTGCAGCATGTGTGTACCGTATGGAAAAGAATGGATGGGGCCTATTTTTTAACTACCTACCATAATGTGCTGGAGGAAGGATATTCTCTAGAGGAACAAGATGACACAAATATGAAGGGTGCATGAGCCATTGTGGGCAGTATAGGGAGGTTATAGAATGCTTAATACATATAATATTTACAAATGAATTGGCCAGCCTTGTTGGTTAGAACTGAGTACTAGGGAGTACACAATAAATGAGCCTATTTCCATGGAAGCCAGTTAGCATCCTACAGAGAGAAACATTTCCCTCTACTGACCCCAGCCCTAAATTAGCCACCCATGTTACAGATGATTGAAAAAAGAACTTGGTAAGGGAATCTAAGTAGCACAGTTTTAAAGACATATTTGCCTGGAAGCTACCCCAAGCATGTATCCTATTCACATTGACTCAGTAAAACCATCTTTGTAAATTAGAACCACAAACACATAGAGAATTGTGAAGTAATGTCTAGTATAAATGTTTTTCAGCTCACATTCTGGAGGTTCTTAGGGAAGGCTGTGCCCACAGATATCTTACATACTTAGAATGGATACTTTTTGATGTTTGAGGTAAAGTCAAGTTCTATCCATGTACTTGGAAGTATAATTACCTCCTTAGCTTTAATCAGGAAAACAGCTGGCCTATTAAACACACTGAGCTACAGGTCCTTTGATTTCAGCTGTGGAGCTTGGCCTATCTGGATGTACAGGCTGACAACTCCCTTGAATACATTACTTTTCACCCTTTGTAGCATTTTTTCCTTCCTCTTGCATACTCCTCGTTGGCTCCCTGGGGATTCAAATTTGTGTTTATCGTGCTGAAAATTTAGAGGCAAGATAAACAACATTTTAAGCTATTTATAACCAGAGGCTATGCCAGAAATGAATTAGGCTTTGCATTTGACATATGTTAAAATGTTGCTTGCTGGCAAAGGTAGGAAGAATATCCCTAGGTGTGAAAAGCAGATGGTTAGAGACGATTTGATAAAGCTTTGACCCAGAATATGGCTATATGGGATTAGTACTTTTCTTAATTTGGGCTTCTATAACAAAATACCATAGTCTGGGTAACTTATAAACAACAGAAATTTATTTCTCTCAGTTCTGGAAGCTGGAAGTCTGAGACCAGGGGACAGCATTGTCAGGTTCTGGTGAGGGCCCCCTTCTGGTTTGCAGACTGCCTACTTCTCATTGTATCCTCACGTGATAGAAAGAGCACAGGAGAGCTCTTAGGAGTCCCTTTTATAAGGACATTAATCCCATTTATGAGAGGCTCCACCCCCATGACTTAATTACCTCCCAAAGGCTTCACTTCCTGACATCATTGCACTAAGGGTTAGGATTTTAATATATGAATTATGGGGGAGGGGCACAAACATTCAGTCCATAGCATTATTCTATTGACTTATTAAATGTATTCTTGTGGAATGCTAGGGATAGAGAGGATCCTGGAGATGCCATTTATATAGAGCCTATATTTTTATACCACCAGGAGGACATTTAGCAAGGGTAAGGAACATACTCTGGAAGGAGGTATGGGAGAGAGGATGAGAAAGAGGCACCATACAAACATAAACCTTAGGGTGGTGGACATGCTATGGTAAGGAGAGAACTCTGCACTTGTCTGACTTCTTCCATGTGGATCATCCCAGAGAAAGGAAACCTCTCTTGCTCATTAGATTTCTGATGAAGAGTCCACGTGCTCCCTTAAATATTCACCTCTCAGTCACGCTAATATAGACCCACCACAGTCTACCTCCATTCTTTCCTTCTGCCTATAAATATTGGTTGAGCTCCCACCATGTGCAGGCACTGTGTTATGTGGATGAATAAGACACATGAGCTATCAAGTTGAGATACATGCAATAAACCAGTAAATAAGTAATATAATGAAGGATTATTATCAGTGTTATAGGGGAAAAAGGGGGTGTGATAAAGAATAATGGGTGTGTGTGTCCTATTTTGGATAGCATGATCAAGATAACCCTTTGAGGAGGTGACATAAATGATCTCAAAGTGATTAAACTTTGGCATGTGTTAACTGCTACTTTAACATTTCTTAAACTGCATGTTGTTAAGGATGTTATTAAGGTTCACGTTAAAATAGTGTTTGCCTTCTCTGAGCCCAATCTGCAGAATGCTGAAAGGACAGCAATTCTGGGGAATAGAGGGAAGCCAGCTGGATGGGCAGACCTCTCCTGGCCAACACTTTCCTCATGACAACCTTCTCTCCTTAGGAAAAGGAGACGTGTTTGGAGATGTGTTCTGGAAGGAAGCCACCCTTGCCCAGTCCTGTGCCAATGTTAGGGCCTTGACCTACTGTGATCTGCATGTGATCAAGCGGGATGCCCTGCAGAAAGTGCTGGAATTCTACACGGCCTTCTCCCATTCCTTCTCCCGGAACCTGATTCTGACGTACAACTTGAGGAAGAGGGTGAGCTAAAAGTTTCAGTTATTTTCCACAAAGAACAGTCTCTGTACACTTTGGATAATCACTGTGACCAGAAAAGTCCCTTTGCTGTTTATTTAAGTAGAGTAATTGGTTCTAAAGAGGATCTGTTTGTTGTTTGCTCTGCGGGGCTTTTGCTATAAAATGGAGGAGAGAGGGGATGTTGCTAGATTAGAAGATGGATCCGTTTTGGTGCAGAAGGGATTTATTTATGTGCTTGGAGGGGGCAGGGAGGTGGCTTTTTTTTCCCCCATCAATATCTAGACCTGCTAGCATTTTGAAAAGATGAGTGAAATGTGAGGTTGCTAGTCAGCAACATGGCTCTGTGGGGCCATTTAATTAATGTAAACTGAATTCTCTGTGGTGACTGGGATTTGCTGAGTAGTATGAAGCCATTAGCCTGCCAGCTAGTAATGGTAATTTTTTAACAGATATGAAAATGATTTAGTTGGGTCCAGAGAATAAGAGAGACATGGAATTTGTTTGTCTAGAGAATATTTTGCATTCAACTCCCAACTAAACTGGTTGAGAAATGATTGGTGGTTTAAGAACCAGAAGATCTTTGACCTGAAATTGTTTCTTTCACTCTCAAATCATCAGAACTCCTCCATCTATCTCTGTGAGGATTAAAGTATTGGTCTTGTACTCTTGAGGTTTTCATGACGGATTTTCTTGCACTTCATCTCTCTGACTCTTTTGGTTAAAACAATAACAAGATAGCTCTGCACCTGGAGAAATCATATGGAAAGGTTGTCATAGGAATCTTTCCTAAAATGACCTCATAATCTTTCTCCCAACCTGCTCACTGTCTCACGGTTCCTATTTACATTGTCTGATTTGTCCTGGGGTTCCAAGTTAGAAACCCTGGCATCAACGTTGATGCTGCTTCCCCCTCTCTGAGGCCTTGTGTTACTCAACAGATCCTGTTGGTTCTGCCTAAGCGCTCAACTCTAAGTCAGTACTTTGCCTTCATCCTCAAGGCCCCCACAGAATTCTCAGGACACAAAGCTCTTCATTAAAAACCTTCCTCATGCCCTAGCTGGATCATGCAATGGGCTCCAAACTCACCTTCCTGCCTCGTGTCTGCCCTCAGTGGAGTGCTTCCTTCTTATGGCTGCTTGACTAACCTTAAAAATCTGATCTGTCAGTCTCCCACCTGACTAAGGGATAATATCTGCACATTTCAGCATGGTGTATGTGATTGTCCACATCTGGCCCAAACTTAACCCCTGAGCCCCGAACTCAACCACTTATCCCCATGCCCACCTTTCCCACCCTGAACTGCCACCATGAGAATTCCACACAGTACTCCAAGCACACCACATCCCTTCAGAGTGCCGTGTCTCTGCCTGCTGCTTTCTCAACCTGGAATTCTTTTCTGTGTGTGACAAACCCCTGTTAGCCCTAAAAACTGCTGAAATGTTTACTTTTTCATTCATCAAACCCAGTATTGTGCCAACTGAACTAGACTAGACATATAAAACCCAATGATACTCAGTTCCCTATCTCTGGGAACCTAAAGTCTAATGGAAAAGATTAACACAAGAAAGATAAATGCGTAGAAGTGCTAAGTACAGTGATTGTGATTTGAACAAGGTATTATGGGAGCATAAAGGAGGGGGACAGCTAAAGGGAGTCAAGGATTAATTGTCAGGGGTGATACCTAGCTGAATCCAAAGAATGAGTTTGCCTAACAGAAGGGGCCAATGATCTACTGGGAGGGGCAGTTTGAGCAAAGCCTGGAGAAAGGAAACAACCCTTTGTCTTCTAAGTCCTTTGTACAAGGTTCCAATGCCTGTCACGGGGCTACCCCAGCAATATTCCTCCACCTGTTTTAAATCCCTTGGACTATCTTGTGGGTCCCTGCACAGAGACCTGAGAAGGCAAGGGCTTGGTGCCTTAGTATCCTCAGTGCATAAACAAGTGTGGGGTGCCTAGAATTAATAAATATTTGAGGATGGCAAGGAGAAAGAGATGGGCCTCAACTCTGGGCCTCAACTTCCACATAATAAAATGCAAGATTGTGGCAAGATGGTTTTTATAGTTCTGTGGTTTGAAACCTGGCCATTTAAATTCTAGTGGAGGGTGGGCAGTGGTGGAGAAATGTGCATCCAATGTTCTTCCTGGTTGATCTGTTGGTTGGGAACATGGGATGCTTGCTGGTGATACATTTAGCCAAGTGGATTCTCTTATAAGCTATTTTTTGATGTATTCCTTCTTTCTATGAAAGCAAGTTGATTATAATCAGCTTTCAGTGTTGCTGATAATATAGGTTGAAAAAATATGCAGTTTGGGTTATTTGGAGGAGTAATCTTCTTGGAATAATTGTGGCTCAAGTAAATCTGTCTTTAAAAAAAAACAAGAATGACAACAAAAACAATGACACCTCAGTGGTCAGATTTTTTCTGTAAGTAGAGTGATAGCTCTGCAGAAGAGAAGACGCAGGGGCTACATTTTTGAAGGGCTGTTGTGGAGGATTTTTTATAGCCACAGGGTACAGAGGAAGAACCAAAATTATAGACAGATTTTGGCACAGTATAAAAAGTCTTTTGAAAAAAATCAGAGCTCCCCAAAGAATGAAATAGGCTGCTTTGAGTGTATCAAATTTGTTATTATGAGGGTACTTAGGCATCTCCTAGGTACCCATATTCAGAAACATTGTGGAAGGGACTTAGGCGACTGTTGGAGAGTCAAACTAGCTGACCTTCAAATTTTCTTCTAACTCTAAGTGACTATATATGAGTCTGGTATGGATCCAGAGGAAGTTTAGTGAAAGCCTTTGTGTAAAGAGGTAGCCATTCTTTTTTGGAAAAAAAAAAAAAGAGGCTTGTCATTTTATTATTGCCATTGTAGTCTCTCATTGTGTCCTTCTGAGAATTAATTCGTAGTTACGTAGGGCATGGAAGACAAGAACATTACATGCATGAATTATTCTCCTAGCTATTTTTTTTTCCTGGTAAAGTAAAGTGTATTGTTGTAGCTGTTTCTATCTTGGCAAAATTAAGTGTTTTATTTGCTAAGATTCTTGACAACACAGTGCCTTTGACATCTATCTGGGGAGTTTCTTGATCTTGTTGATCTTCTCCAATGTGCAGCAAAGACTCTGAGCTAGAAGATGACTTGGTAACCGTTCAATCTCTTCTCTACTTCCCTAACACCCTCATTTCACATTTTATAGAAAGGTCACAGAGCTGGGTTGGGATGAAAGAATTGGAGCCAGAAGTGACACCTTGGCCAAAGTCTTCCTGATCACAGTTTCCTGTTCTACTCTAGCCTCTGTATTCTAAGCCACATCCCTTTTTCCCTAAATCCAAGGGTATGAACATCACCTAGCTCTCAGCTCTGCTCTTGGAACCCAACTCAGGAAGAAACTGTTGCCTTCCTCCATTTCCTCCAAAGCCACATGAGGGCACAGACAAGGATGAAAGAGGCAGAACCTGGAGGCAAATCCAGCATTTTGGCCTTTAGTTTTTCTTGCTTGTGAGGTCTGAGCCAGGTGAGACTTTGGTCTGGGTCCTGCTTCTGCCACTTATTGCTTCTATAATTCTGGAGGAGCTATAAAAGCTTCCTTTTCTGTAAAATGCGGATGATGAAAATTTCTAACTTGTAGGATAGTTGCAAGCATTAAATAAGATAATATTTGCAAAGCTCACATGAAGCCTACTACTACATAGCGAGTGCTCAATTCATTTGTATGTTATTGTTATTTTGTTCTGTCCACGTGATTGATACCCTATTCTTTATTATCCTGTGCCTTTTGTAAAGTAAAAAGAAGGCAGTTCCTCTGCCTTTGTTCATGCAGGGTTATTGCCCTGCGCAATGTTCTGTGGGGTAGGTGTTATCCGCAGGTTCTCTGCACCTCTTGCAGCAAAGGAGGGATCAGTCGCTCTGGGAAGTGGAATCCATTGCTGGCCTTGCTGCCTCTTCAGCTCCTGACAGTGAAGAGGTCAGCATTTGCCCACTGTTTTGGCCAGTTCCATTCTTGGAGGGAAAAATCAGGCTATTTTGAGATCTTAGGTCAGTTAACAGGAAGTCTAGAGGGAGGCACAAAAGAAAAGCACAGCGCTATTGTTTCTTCTGAGGGAGGTGGCTTGTGGCTATTCATGAAAAGAAGGGGAAGTAGAGCCTTCCTCATCAAACCCTTGGCTCTCTAGGGTGCAAGGTCTATGCGCTTTTTCCTCAAAGCCTAGAATCATCTTGTGTCTGTAATCAGAGCTTTGCAGACTATAAATAGTAAATTATTACCAACTCCAGATATTGTACAAGCTACGTCACAGTATCAGTACGTGTATGTCAGCTTATTACATCTTCGGAACAGCCTCATGACATTACTGTATCATTCCCATTTCTCAATGGAATAAACTAGGACCCTGTGAGGAAGAAAACCCCTTTTCCAAGGTTGCCCGGTTAATAAGTGGCAGATTCCAAACCTGGCACGTGCTCTTCTGGCTAAGGAGTGTCACATTCTGTGGTAGCCTCAGTGAAGTGTGGCTCTCAGCTGTTCCCATATTGGCATTCTTTGGCTTCTGCATTCTTCTAGTCTGTTAACTTTTCAGGAGTAGCTTGGGTTGTCTCCTAAGTATCTTTCTCCAGTGGCCTTTGCCACCGCCAATACACTCAGAAACATGTACGGTAAAACCACAGTAATACCCCAGGTTGGGAGATGTGACAAATTTCCCCCTCGTAGTGACAGGCACACAGCAAGTAGCTGGATGTGATGGGTGTGGGAGGCATGACACATTTCGCTTTCGTTAGGCAGCGGGTTAACCCGGCCATGCTATTAGTAACTCACTAGAAAGGCCAATGCTTTGAGTCTAAGGACTATGTTTGAATACTGATTTGACTGCTGACCAGCTATGTGCCTTTGGGCAAATTACTTAACCATTCAGAGCCTCAGTTTCCTTGTTTGTGAAAAGGGGCTGATACAAGTCCTTCCTAATTAGGTTTTTGGCATTTTGTTTATTTATTTTAAGTTCTGGGATACATGTGCAGAACGTACAGGTTTGTTACATAGGTATACATGTGCCATTGTGGTTTGCTGCACCTATCAACCCATCATCTAGGTTTTAAGTCCCATGTGCATTAGGTTTTTGTCCAAATGCTCTCTCTCCCCTTGACCCCCCCACACCCCAAACAGGCCCCAGTGTGTGATGTTCCCCCTCCCTGTGTCCATGTGTTCTCATTGTTCAATTCCCACTTATGAATGAGAACATGTGGTGTTTGGTTTTCTGTTCCTGTGTTAGTTTGCTGAGGATGATGGTTTCCAGCTTCATCCATGTCTCTGCAAAGGACATGAACTCATTCTTTTTTATGGCTGCCCTAATTGGGTTTATTGAGAAGTTTACATACGGTAAAACAAACAAAAAGAAAAAGTGACACATTACCTGCAGGAACCACTCAATACATATTTTTCCCTTTCTCCTCCCCACTGCCCATCCCCTACTTCCACCTCCAGTCTTAGAGGTTCTGAATTCACACTTTGTTGCCCTTGGTTAATAACCAGACATTTCTTTAGTCGATGTTTCACTTGGGCTCTACTTTCCTTTCAACCTGAGATAAGGTTTCACTCCCCAGGTCCTAGGGAATTACGTTCTCCTGCTGATCATTAGGACAGTAGAAGCAATGTACCACAATTAAATGATGTACTGCAGACAAGCAATTAGGTAATTAACAGCAGTCAGTGCATGGGATAATTGGCACGTAGGTAATTGGGAGGGCGGTTCTCATTCTGTGTGTAGGGCTTTATTTTTAAAGCCAATATTGTTGTGTATAGAGTTTGTTTTGTGCAGTGTTTGTTTATATTAATTTGTTCCAGGATGAATTTTTTTTGTTTGATTAAAGCCCCAACTTAGTGAGTTTGGGAGGGAGCTGGGACTATAGTTACTGATGTTCTCAAAGCTGAGCCCTCCTAATGCCTGTTTTCTAAAACTGAGGTTGCCATAGTGAACTGTCTTGAATACCATATGTACATTTCTAGCCCACTTTAACCAAAGAGCATTTTATTCTGGAGAAGAGAAGATGAAAGCATTGAATGCTTGGAGAAAGCTCTGCTCATAAGTGGCATTGGAAAGCTTTTAAATTTTCTCCCTGAATAAATTATTGTGGAAGGTTGATAAGATGGAAAGATAAACCATAAAGCTAGGTACTTAAAAATGTCATCCACTTCCCCCCTGAGTCATCATAGCCTAAGTTTTAAAAATGATATCTGCATAGCCCATATTTTCCTTGTCATCCCTCCTATGTGGGCTTCTGTGAAATTAAAATCATCTATTAGTCTGTCAAGCCAAAAAGATAATAAAATCATGGTGTTGGAATTAGGAGTCGGGGGAGGGGGAGAGATGATGTGAGTGACATGACCATAATTCTTTTAGAACAACAAACTATAAATCAAAATCAAGTTCTGTTTTCCTCAAGAGGATCAGTGAGTGATGTTAGGGACCTGTGCAGTCTTTCATGGGTCCTCAGGTGTTCCCCAGTACCCCGAGAACATTTAGCAGAACCCCATGATGATGCTGGAGGTGGAAGATAATAAAAGTGCTCCATGCTTCATTATGTATGAATTAGCTTAAATTGTAGTCAGGCTATGTCTGGCTATTTTTAAGGAAGTAATAAAGTTCTGGAATGAACACGGGCTTTAAAGCTAGATCTTCACATCCAGGCTCTGCCATTTGCTAGCTGGGGCAGGGGGTCAGGATGGGTGGGCATTGAACAAGTATACCTTGTGGTCTTCCGTGGATCTACATCGCCTACCCCAAATGGTAGTGATGGGAAAGAGTGAGAAAGTGCCAGGCATGTTGCCTCACGTGTGGTAAGTATGTAGCTGTGTTATTTCTCTTCCATTATTCATAGCAATGGGGGCAGCAGAGCAAAGAAGAATAGGAGCCATAATAGTTTGGCTGGTAGAATAATCATATGGAGGTACTAGACTGGTGGTTTAAAATGTGGATCCTGCAGTCAGAGTATTTGAGTTCAAATCCTGGCCCTACTTAGTGACTTCAGGCCAGTTACCTAACCTCTCTAGGCCCTATTTTATTCAGGTATGAAATAGAGGCCTTAGAAGCATGCTTTGACATGGCAAATTTTCAATGTTTATATGGCTATAATTATGATAAAGAAGACGATGATAATGATAAGGATGATGACAATAAAATCAATCAAATGTATTAGTTAGCTTTTCTGGGACTTAGATCCCATCAGGTGCTAAAAGTTTTTAAAAAGAAGTGATGGACTGAATTTTAACATCTAGAAATCTCCTAAACAGAAAATTCTAAAATTTGAGCCTGGGCCCCTCAAGTAGCCCTAGAGATCCAGGTGGTTCATCAGTGAGGTTTGGTGAAGAATGGCTCTGTTGGATTCAAAATGGATCTGATTCCTCCTATAACAGAATGAATGGAGGGAATGGTAGAGTCAGATGTGGAAGAGAGGAAGGAGGAGGAAAGTTGTAACTTATCTTTTAATAGTCATCAAGTTACTTGATGTACTGTTACATACAGTGTTTACCACAAATTAGAAAAGATCTGGCCTAGCTTAGAAGAGTATAAGGCTAGTGCAGTCTTTTGGAGGAGAGTAGCATCCTTAATAATATTTTCTTAGGTGTATGTAGTTGAGGCATAATAAGGGTAGTGCTAATGGATCCTAGATCAGAAGTTCATCCTCAAGCAAGCAAGTTGGCTTCTTGATGTCTTAGATGTTTAACCCAAGATTTCTCATTCATGTGCTCCCTAAAATTTTGAATGATATCTGTAAGTATTATCTATTATGAAATACCTGTAAAAATCCACTAGAGCTAGTGTTTTACAGAGCACATTTAGGAAGCAGGGTCTAGATGCTCTTTAGTATCTCTTCCAGCTCAAATGATCACTGACTTGTGGAGCGAACAGGTCTTGCCTCTGAAACATCAAGAAGCCAAAATATACTCTAGCACAGGGAATCACTATCACCTGGTCCTCAGTAAAATCCCAAACAGAGATTACTGGCAGGGTCTCGCTAATTTCTAAACATCTTCCTCAACTCAGCTCCCCTCCCACCTCTTACAAATGCCCAGTGGCCCACTCATTTTCCAGTGAGCAGCCAGTCATGTTTTCAAAGTGCATTTCACATGTGCTAATACTAGAAGGCTGTCAAAGGATGTTTTCTAACTAGCTTCAAAGTCCCTCCTTGCAAGTTACTTTCTCATTCTTTCTTTGGCCTAGCCAAATTTTACATTTCGAACCCATCTGCCAAGTTTTTTGGACTTCCTTTTTCCTATTTATTGTTCCTTCTACTCTTAAAAATGTGCTCTGTGGTTTTGAGCATGTCCTTACAAATTTTGACAGTAAGTCATGGAGGTTTTCATTCTAGCCTTTGCTTTTGGTAAGCAGAGTCAGGATTTGAACCCAGGCTGCCTCTCCTCTGATAACAATAACTACTTTATAAGATGTTAGATTAATAAAAAGAAATGTTAGTTCTCCCCTATTTCCAAGGGGACTTTGAATGCCTGCATATGAGCTCACATAAAGAATCTATTCCAGACCAAATGTCCGTGCAGACCATATCTGGTATAATGTATGTCAGAGGTCCACGCGGTTTTGGTTTATCTCTCTGCAAACTTTGTTGTTGGCAATTTACTTTTTACTAATGTCACTTAATGGTCTTTACCCTGCCTGTGCTTAACTTAGATTTCTAGATTGAAATTTTGAATTCATAATGGGACCCTGACTCCATATATCTTCTCTTTAATTTCTCTAGTCTAGATGAAGCCCCTTGTCTTTTAATCCAATTAGCAACAATCACCTCTTTGTAGCTCTCATTATACTTCCAGTTAACTCCCCACCCCCCCTCAATCTTGTTGCCCAGGCTGGAGTGCAATGGTATGATCTTGGCTTACCGCAACCTCTGCCTCCTGGTTTCAAGTTATTCTCCCACCTCAGCCTTCTGAGTAGCTGGAATTACAGGCATGTGCCACTATGCCCAGCTAATTTTGTATTTTTAGTAGAGACGGGGTTTCTCCATGTTGGCCAGGCCGGTCTCAAACTCCTGACCTCAGGTGATCCGCCTGCCTCAGCCTCCCAAAGTGCTGGGATTACAGGCGGGAACTACCCTACCTGGCCACACTTCT
The DNA here is from genome assembly GCF_000001405.40 of Homo sapiens. Classification (NCBI taxonomy): domain Eukaryota; kingdom Metazoa; phylum Chordata; class Mammalia; order Primates; family Hominidae; genus Homo; species Homo sapiens. The sequence goes on along the minus strand of NC_000001.11, from coordinate 210,766,235 downwards.
CTGACTTGATCAGCTTTTTTAGAGCTTGGTACAAAGTAAATGTTCAATAATTGAATGAGTCAATCAGTGAAACAACCAACCAACCAACAAAAATATACAAATCTACCAACCAATATTGGGCATGTCCCTCCATCTTATTACTGCTATACATTCTTTTTTTCTTCTTCTTTTTTGAGACAGAGTCTCCCTCTGTTGCCCAGGCTGGGGTGCAGTGGCGCGATCTCGGCTCCCTGCAACCTCCACCTCCCGGGTTCAAGCAATTCTCCTGCCTCAGCCTCCCGACTAGCTGGGATTACAGGTGCCTGCCACCACGCCCGGCTAATTTTTTGTATTTTTATTGGAGACAGGGTTTCACCATCTCGGCCAGGCTGGTCTCAAACTCCTGACCTCAAGTGATCTGCCTGCTTCGGCCTCCCAAAGTCCTGGGATTACAGGCATGAGCCACCACACCTGGCCTATTGGTGTATATTCTTAAAGCCTTGGCTAAAAGATGGTATCGGCAGAGACATCTTTCCTTCTTTGTCCCTCTGAAGCTTTTCCTATATATTTCATAGCCCCTTTTCCCTTCTTTTTCTCTCCCCCAGGCCCTGATTGTAGAGGTCTCTCAGCCTCTGCAGATACCCCTGGTGCCAGCATAAAATATAATAACCATCCCAATTTATTGTCTCATCTGCCAAGTATGAGTTAACGCATTTACATGTATCTCACTTAGGTGCTGAGGCCAAGATAGGTTAAATAATTTGCTTCTGATCCATTAAGCTAATTGGAGTTAGAATTGTAGCTCAAGCCTGGCAATCACCAAGCCCATACTCTTTTTGTGGTTGTTTGTTTTATTAAATTTTAGATTCTGGGGGTATGTGTGCAGGTTTGTTACATGGGTATATTACATGATGCTGAGGTTTGGGTTTCTAGTGATCCCACTACCCAAGTAGTGAACATACTACCCAGTAGTAGATAGTTTTTCAACCCTTCCACCCGCCACCATTACCCCCTGCCCAGTTTTGGACCCTTCTGTACCCCCACCCCCAGTTTTGGAATCCCAAGTGTTTATTGTTCCCATCTTTGTGTCCATGTGTACTCAATGTTGAGCTACTACTTGTAAGTGAGAACATGTGGTACATAGTTTTCTGTTTGTGCATTAGTTCACTTAGGATAATGGCCTTCAGCTGCATTTATGTTGCTGCAAAGGACATGATTTTGTTCTTTTTAATGGCTCTGTAGTATTCCATAGTGTATATGTACCATAGTTTATCCAGTCTACTGTTGATGGGCACCTGGGTTGATTCCATGTCTTTGCTATTGTGAATAGTGCTGTGATAAACATATGAGTGCAGGTGTCTTTTTTGGTAGAACAATTTATTTTCCTTTGGGTTTATAACCAGTAATGGGATTTCTAGGTCGAATGGTAATTCTATTTTTAGCTATTTGAGAATCTCCAAGCTGTTTTCCACAGGGGCTAAACTAATTGGCATTCCCACCAACAGTATGTAAGCATTCCCTTTTCTTCCCAACCTTACCATCTGTTATTTTGTGACTTTTTAACAATAACCATACTGACTGGTGTGAGATGGTATTTCTTTGTGGTTTTGGTTTGCATTTCTTTGATGATAGTGATGTTGAACATTTTTTCATGTTTCTTGGCCATTAGGATGTCTTCCTTTGAGAAGCATCTGTTCATGTCGTTTGCCCACTTTTTAATGAAGTTATTTGGTTTTTGCTTGTTGATTTAAGTTCCTCATAGATTCTGGATATTAGTTCTTTATCAGATGCATGGTTTGTAAATATTTTCTCCCATCCAGTAGATTGTCTGTTTACTCTGTTCATAGTTTCTTTTGCTGTGCAGAAGCTCTTTCATTTAATTAGACCCCAATTGTCAATTTTAATTTTTGTTGCATTTGCTTTTGAGGACTTAGCATAAATTATTTGCCTAGGTCAATATCTAGGAGGGTGTTTTCTAGGTTTTCTTCTAGGATTTTTATAGTTTGAGGTATTACATTTAAGTCTTTAATTCATCTTGTGTTAATTTCTGTATATGGTGAGAGGTAGGGGTCCAGTTTCATTCTTCTGCATATAGTTAGCCAATTTTCTCGTATCATTTATTGAATAGGGTATTCTTTCCCTATTGTTTATTTTTGTTGGCTTTGTCAAAGACCAGTTAGTTTTAGGTGTGTGGCTTCATTTCAAACTTTCTATTCTGTTCCATTGGTGTATTCATCTGTTTTTGTACCAGTACCATGCTGTTTTTGTTACTGTAACCTCGTAATGTACTTTGAAGTTGGATAATGTGATTGCCTCCAGCTTTACTCTTTTTGTGTAGGATTGCCTTGGTTATTTGCGCTGTTTTTTGGTTCCATATGAATTTTAGAATAGTTTTTTTCTAATTCTGTGAAAAAAATGACATTGGTAACTTGATAGGAATAGTGTTGAATCTGTACATTGCTTTGGGAAGTATGCACATTTTAATGATGCTGATTCTTCCAATTCATAAGTATGGAATGCTTTTCTGTTTGTTTGTGTTGTCTATGATTTATTTAAATAGTGCTTAATAGTTCTTCCAGGAGAGGTCTTTTACTTGCTTGGTTAGATGTATTCCTAGGTATTTTATTTTTGTGTGTGTGGCTACTGCAAATGAAATTGCATTCTTGATTTGGCTCTCAGTTTGCATATTATTGGTGTATAGAAATGCTACTGATTTTTGTATGTTGATTTTGTATCCTGAGACTTTCCTGAAGTCATCAAATTTAGGAGACTTTTGGTCTTTAGGGTTTTTTAGATATAGAATAATATCATCAGCAAAGAGATGGTTTGACTTCTTCCTTTCCTGTTTGGATGCCCTTTATTTCTTTCTCTTGTCTGATTACTCTGATTAGAACTTCCATTACTATGTTGAATAGGAGTGATGAGAGTGAACATCTTTGTTTTGTTCTAGTTCTTAGGGCGAATGTTTCTGCCTTTTGTCCATTCAGTATGATGTTGGCTGTGGATCTGTCATAGATGGCTTTTATTATTTTGAGATGTGTTCCTTCAATTCCCAGTTTTTTGAGGGTTTTCATTATAAAGAGATGTTGGATTGTATTGACTACTTTTTCTGCATCTATTGAGATGATTACATGGTTTTTATTTTTCATTCTGTTTATATGGTGAATTACATTTTTTGATTTGCACATGTTGAACCATCCTTGCATCCCAGGAATAAAGCCCACTTGCTCACAGTGAATTAACTTTTTGATGTGCTGCTGGATTTAGTTTCCTAGTATTTTGCTGAAGATTTTTGCATCTATGTTCATCAGAGATATTGATCTGTAGTTTTCTTTTTTTGTTGTGTCTTTGCCAGATTTTGGTATCATGATGATGCTGATTTAGTAGAATGAGTTAAGGAGGAGTCCCTCCTCCTTGATTTTTAAAAATAGTTTCAGTAGGATTGGAACCAGCTTTTCTTTGTATATCTGGTCGAATTTGGCTGTGAATCCATCTGGTCCAGGGCTTTTGTTGGTTGGCAGGTTTTTTATTACTGGTTCAATTCCATTACTCACTATTGTTTTTTTCAGGATTTCTTTTTCTTCCTGATTCAATCCTGAGAGGTTATGTGTTTCCAGAGATTTATCAATTTCTTCTAGATTTTCTAGTTTGTCTACATAGAGATGTTCATAATAGTCTCTGAGGATCTTTTATATTTCTGTGGGATTGGTTGTGATATTGTCTTTGTCATTTCTGGTTGTGCTTATTTGGAGCTTCTCTCTCCTTTGTTCATCTAGCTAGTGGTCTATCGAACTTGTTTATCCTTTTCGAAGAACCAACCTTCTGTTTTGTTGATCCTCCCTATGGTTTTTGGTCTCAGTTTCATTTAGTTCTGCCCTGATTTTTGCTATTTCTTTTCTTCTGCTAGCTTTGGGTTTAGCTTGTTCTTGTTTTCTAGTTCCTTTAGCTCTGATCTTAGGTTGTTAATTTCAGATCTATCTATCTTCTTGATATAGGCATTTAGAACTATAAACTTTCCTCTTAACACTGTTTTTGATGCATCCCAGAGATTTTAGTATGTCATGTCTCTATTTTCATTTGTTTCGAAGAATTTTTTTTTAATTTCTGCCTTAATTTTGTTTTTTACCTAAAAGTCATTCAGGAGCAAGTTGTTTAGTTTCCATGTATTTGGGTAGTTTTAAGAGTTCATTTGGAATTGATTTCTATTTTTATTCCACTGTATGATTTTGATTTTTTTGAATTTATTGAGACTTGCTGTATGACCAAGCACGTGGTCAGTCTTAGAGTACGTTCCATGTGCAGATGAGAAGAATGTATACTGTGTGGTTGTTGGGTAGAGTATTCTGTAGATGTCTATTAAGTCCGATTGGTCGAGTACCAAATTTAAGTCCAGAATTTCTTTGTTATTTTTCTGCATTGACTACCTGTCTATTGCTGTCAGTGGGATATTGAAGTCCCCCACTATTATTTCGTGACTATCAAAGTCATTTCTCAGGTCTAGAAATAATAGTCTTATAAATCTGAATGTTCCAATTTTAATTGTATATATATTTGGGATAGTTAAGTGTTCTTGTTGATTTGAACACCTTTATCATTATGTAATGTTATTCTTTGTCCTTTTTTACTTTTGTTGGTTTGAAGCCTATTTTATGTGATATAAGACTAGCGACCCCCTGCTGTCTTATGTTTTCCATTTGTGCAGTAGATCTTTTGCCATCTCTTTACATTGAGTCTGTGGGTGTCATTACATGTGAGATGGGTCTCTTGAAGATAGCAAAAGGATGAGTCTTGTTTTTTTAATCCAATTTGCCACTCTCTGTATTTTAATTGGAGCATTTAGACCATTTACACTCAAGGTTAATGTTGCTTTGTGAGATTTTGTTCCTGTTGTAGTGTTGTTGGCTAGTTGCCAACAACTAGTTGACTAGTCTCAATTCTGTCATTGCTTTATAGGGTCCATGGGCTATGTGCTTACATGTACTTTTTTTTTTTTTTTTTTTTTTTTTTGACGGAGTCTCGCTCTGTCGCCCAGGCTGGAGTGCAGTGGCGGGATCTCGGCTCACTGCAAGCTCCGCCTCCCGGGTTCACGCCATTCTCCTGCCTCAGCCTCCCAAGTAGCTGGGACTACAGGCGCCCGCCACTACGCCCGGCTAATTTTTTGTATTTTTAGTAGAGACGGGGTTTCACCATTTTAGCCGGGATGGTCTCGATCTCCTGACCTTGTGATCCGCCCGCCTCGGCCTCCCAAAGTGCTGGGATTACAGGCGTGAGCCACCGCGCCCGGCCTTTACATGTACTTTTGTGGTAGCAAGTATCATTCTGATATGATTTGACTGTGTTCTCACCCAAATCTCATCGTGAATTCCCATGTGTTTTGGGAGGGACCTGGAGGGAGGTAATTGAATCATATTCAATAATTGAATCATAGGGGCAGGTCTTTCCCTTGCTGTTCTCATGATAGTGAATAAGTCTCATGAGATCTGATGGTTTTATAAAGAGGAATCTCCCTGCACAAGCCCTCTCTCTTTGCCTGCTACCATCCATGTAAGATGCGACTTGTGTCTCCTTGGCTTTTGCCATGATCGTGAGGCCTCCCCATATGGAACTGTAAGTCCATTAAAACTTTTTCTTTTGTAAATTGCCCAGTCTCAGTTATGTCTTTATCAGAAGCATGAAAACAGACAAATACACATTCGTTTGTTTCCATGTTTAGGACTCCTTTAAGCATTTTTTGTAGGACTGGTCTGGTAGTGATGAATTCCCTTAGCAATTGCTTGTCTGGGAAACACTTTATTTCTCCTTTGTTTATGAAGCTTTCTTTGGAAGGAAATGAAATTCTTGGCTGGCTTATCTTTTCAAGAATGCCAAAAATGGTCCCCAATCTCTTCTGGCTGGCAAGGTTTCTGCTGAGA